>NC_000013.11:78408106-78560946 GCF_000001405.40 Homo sapiens | reverse complement strand
CACCCTGGAGAGCATTTACCTTTTCTTCTTAAACAGAAACAAACCATTTTATGACATTCTATCAATGGAGCATTTTATAAGATATGCCAACTTCCAACAGATCTTTCAAGAACATCCACTTCTACTCGCAGCCCATCCTTCCTCTATGTAGGGAAGAGGGCAAGTTAGGATTTGACTCTGTCCTGTTTGATCCTTTTCTGGAAAGGCCAAACCAAAAGACCAGTAACTGTGGGTTTTATATTCTCCTCACTGTGCCAGGTAATGTCAACATGAGATGGTGCCTTGCCCTTAAACAAATTTGATTAAAGAATATTATTAGTAATAATAAAAAAAAGAGTCTGAGAAAAAGAAAATATTTTTATGACAACTCACTTGTGGTTTTGAAGTGTACTTTAACTGGTAAGATCACAGTAAGTAATTTAGCTGAAGTGTAATAATTGGGTTCCAAGTGTTATGATTGATACATTTCATTGAAAACAGCACCCTGAGGCTTTCCCAAATTAAAGATGAAATCTAAATAAAACCTTAAATAACCCATGTGGAAATACTTTATTGTAGTTAATAACCAGGCAAAAATATGCTTATTTTATTTGTAGACTCATTCCAACACATTATACCTATTGTTGTTTCCACTTGAAAGGAATCACACTTGGCTTATGTAAAAATAATAGCATTCCTAACTATTAATAGCAAATAAGAGAGACATTTATGGACATTCATACATCATTTATAAATGACCCTCATGAATAAAGCGTTACAATGATTTCCATTAGCATAAGTTCTACAATTATGGCCTGCATGAGAGACATATTTTTCTTTCTTGAATGCACATATAAAAATCTGTCATTTACTTTGTTGAAATTTTATCCATAATGCTTCAATATATTTCTAGGCTACTAAAGGACTATAAACTGAAATATACAGACACAAATGTATCCTATTGGGCATATGGAGATAGGTCCATGGGGCCCTTAAGACAGGGGCCAGGGCACATGACCATGGTACCGTGCTCTCCTTTAGTGCAGTTTAGACTGAGCTTGGGCTTCCAGGTCTAGCTCGGACAAATGAATAGAAAATTAAGGCACCTGATGGGAATCTTGATCTCATCTTTCCCTTTTCCTGACATTTCTCAATCCAGGATCTTTGGTACTAGCTTCCTGCTCTGTAAGGGATGTTCAACTTTGGAGTGAATTTTCAAGGTGGTATCTTCCTTTGATGATACAGTAACAGAAACATCTGTCTGTCACGATAATACAAAATGTGATAACTGATTAAACTCCTGCTTTGTAACAGGGACTGTATACCCATTATTTTGCTGATTTCTCATGACCACCCTATGTTGATATACATTTTAATGATGTACCCATGAGACAGATTTTGTTACACTTTATTTCTAGGTGAGAAAACCAGAGCTCAAAGAACTTATATAAATTACCTAAGATATGGATATGGAAAAAAGGTTTGACCCAAACTTATGCTTGTCCCACCATATATATTTCCTGACCTTACAATTCTGCCTGAGATCAAGCTATTAGGTCTCCTGAGCTCTCCCTGTTAATTATTGAAGAAATGAAGTTGCTTTGAACAGAAGTGCATTATATAGGGTATTATCATTTATTGACTCTCACAATGCCTAAAGCCTGCCTGGGCTATGAGTTATCTTGACCCAAGGACAATGCTGGAAAGAAAGCATGTCCTCCAGCTATTTATTTGCATATGCTGTTTTTTCTTGTCACAGTCCTGCATCTCCTTGGCAAGGTTGAGGTAGGATGTTCGAGCTATGGTAAGATCATTATCATCAGCTGCTGCCAAGACCCTCTCTCTTGATTTGCCAAGATTCTTGAGGGGAGGGCAGTGAGCTGGCCATGGTGCCCCTTCCTCATTTCAGTGACTTTCTTAAGAAGGATCTCTGCTCTTTCCCTCCCCATAGTGACAGGAAGCATATGGGAAACTGTAAGTCTCTTTCAGAAAAAAAGAAAGAAAGAAAGAGAGAGAAAGAGAAAGAAGTAAGAAAGAAAGAAAGAGAGAAAGAAGAAAGAAAGAAAGAAAGAAAGAAAGAAAAAGAAAGAGAGAAAGAGAGAAAGAAGAAAGAAAGAAAGAAAGAAAGAAAGAAAGAAAGAAAGAAAGAAAGAAAGAAAGAAAGAAAGAAAGGAAAGGAAAGGAAGGGAGAGGAAAGGAAAGGAAGGAAGGAAAGAAAAAATCAATCAATCGATCCATCCATCAATCAATCAGGGAATCCTTTGCTTGAGAATGCATATAAAATGGAGGAATGAGAGATTTTAAAAGTATAGCGTGACCACTTGATTTCCCCTCAACATTTGTAGAGACAACACCTGTTCATGGTAGTTAAGAGTTGGCGAGATCTGAGTTTTGGTGCCCTTGACTCTACCACTTACTAAATGTATGACTTCAGGCAAATTATTTACCTCCATATGCCCTGAATTCCTCATCTGCAAAATGGAAATAATAGTGATACCTACTTCATAGGTGAGGTGATCTCTGGTTCAAACAAAACTCCTACTAATGTTGTTATATATTAGTCCAATTAAAATTATACAGCAAGTTTGTAGCACTCCTAACATGGCACTAGAACCCAGATCTTCTTACTGAGACTAATTCTTTTTCCTTTTTATTTTAACATAAGGCAGATCTATACTTTTGATATCAACATTGATATCAACTTTTAATATCAGCCTGTTAACATTTATAGCTGACCAGGAAAAACCAGCTGAAAGCATTGTATTACTAATTTTGGCAGTGTTAAATATCTCTAGTTGTGGCTTTAGAAGAGGCTGTTTGCCAGTTTTCTATTGATGACATATTTTAGCTAAAGATCAGCATTTAATCAATAATCAATGCTAGCAAATGCTTGCTGCTATGTATGTTACCAACCATTTACCAAAAAAAAAAAAAAACATCAGTTTGTTCGTTTTATTCTTCATTTTAAGGCAACATGTCAGCTCAATCCACCACTTAATTCTCTAAGAGTTTGTCACCTCCAAATTGTATTTTACCCTTCAAGAACAAGAAAAAGTCAGATGACCTGTGTCAAAGACCACAATTGGAGCATATGAGTACTGATATTATAATTTGTAGTATGAAAGCACTGTTGATATTTACAAAATAAACCCTAACTTTACAAATAATGTATTATTTACTTTTTCTGAGATATAAGCCTTAACTCCAAAATTAATACCAAGAAAACCATACTTTTTAATAAGAGTAATTTTTTCCTCCATGAAATTTATTGATGAATAAAATAAGGTCATGAACAAAGAATCACTATTTTCCCCCATAAACTAAATGGTAGCGTACTTTTAAAATGTCTTCAAAAACCTTTAAAACTAATGAGTTCTACAGCCAAAATATCTTTTTTGTAAAGAAAGAGGAATCAGAAAAAATTTTTTAAGGTTAACTGTGTTTATATGCATGAGCGATTATTGTATAAGGATATTAATAATAAATTACAGAGATTTATAAATAAGTTATCTATGGTAAACTAAACCAGGACTTCTAATTTCCTCTTTTACTTTGCATACATTGTGCTATTATTTAACTATAAGCTATTTAGGAATTAACTAGAGATGTTTTTGCAATTTTATGAATCTCCTCTGGAGATAAGAAAACCAGGTAACTTTTGTAGAAGATATTAATTCTATAGCCTTTATTTTATATCCGACAATTCTTTAGGGATTGTTTGGTTGGTTGTTAAATATTTCCTTAGGAATATCTGTTTATGGCAAGGAGATATTTCATAATTACATTCAAATACTTGAGTCAAGTAATATGAAAGCCCTTCTTTTAGCAGATCAAGGCAAACTGCATGTAAATCACAGCAGACCTTCAAATAGTTTTCAAAAATCATCAGACCTGAAAAAGACCATTTACTCCACATAATTGAAATTGAACTGCTTGTGTTAACCTGAGCGTCCCTTTTCCTCACTTGGGTCCGATCTCCACATCCCTAAGAGAATGCAAAAACCCGGCTGCCTCTAGCACATCTTGTTAAATCAGGATTTTATAAAAATATCTTAAGAAAGAGATGAAAATATAAAATACTAAAATTATGGAAGCCAAATAATTTGATACTGATTAAGTCTACTCTGACTTATGTTAATCATAGTGTGTATGGAGACCAATATTTATTGTTACACTTGGATACCTTTAGGAGACAGAGGGTTGCCAATTTTGTAGTAAATTGAGTGTGTCAAAGACTTGGACAAGGGCCAGTGTCAAAACAGGCACAGAAAATGTGTTCCTACTGCAGGTGAGGGGAGACTAGGCAAACTTGTATTATTTCTGTCAGCCCTATGATAATTAATTTTCAACCATATTATCTGAATTTAAAAGTGACAATTATTTATTCCCTGTACTGATTTCCTGGAAGCTTTCCAAATTTTCTACCCTATTTTGAAAAGAGCTTGGCTAAAATGTGAACAAATCATTAAGAATTGATGCATAGAAGATGTACATATTCACACAAAAGATGACCCCTTTAAAACATGGCTTTTAAACATTAGTAGAAAGGAAAATGTATATGAGAATGGACCATAACTCTCCCCAGCACAGCTGGAGTGCCGTTGATTGAAAAGTAAAAAGAGCACACTATTAGCAAGCCTTTTGGGCCTGCAGTATGGATCTCTATTCCTCACACAAACCCGCATTGGCTCCTTTGCTGATAGCTGTGATTGACTGTTGGATCGTATTATCCCCTGCTGTTCCCCCTTCTTCACTTCTGGGGTTACCAACAGCAGGAATCGTCAGTCAGGGCTCAATTGATTATCCTCAAAATTTGCCCCTGCTATTGACCATAATGGGAAAAAAAATCTTGCCTCTGAATTATTCAGAATGAAAATATACACAGAAGAAATCGATAAGGCACATCTGATATTAAAGACAAATTAAAACAGGCAGTGGAAGGGGGCTTGAGGCAGCTGCTCCATACAAAGAAGAAGGCATTTTTAAGATAAAGGAAAAGTATTTTTGCTTTCTTAAAAAAGATGTTATAGCTGTCAAAGCTTTTCAAAATTAATAGCTTTATTAATGGGGGCATTACGGCTTCCTGGCCAGCTAGCTCCTTGTAACAGTTGGGATGGTACTTGAGATTCCAGCTCTGTAATTTCTTTCTAATAGTTTCAAAGTGTTTTTTTTTTAACTTAACCACAACACACCATGCTTAAGGGATAAAATTATACAAAAATGCTTAGGTCAAAACCAGGACATTAGCAAATATCTAGGGCCAGCCACCAGCCCTGATAGAATTTGATAGGAATTAGAAGTTAAACAACCAAAAAAAAAAAAAGGGTTCCCTTTTCACAAGCACACTTGTGAGAAACACAATTATTTTGTGTTGTCTGCAGAAAGAACCTAGGCTCCTAGAGGCTGTTATGTGCCAGTGGGGGTGGGAGATAAAGTAATCTCTGGGGTAGAAAATTCACCCAGTTTAATCAGGATTTCTGAGGAAAACGTGTTACTTCAGTGGCATTGACATGAACAATTTGCAATTATCTGGAAATTTGATTCCCTCTGAGAGCTCCATAAAACTTCAAACTTCCTTTTTCCTCCACAAACAGGTGTGTTTAGTCCAAAGTATATTATATATATATATATTTTAAGAGACGTGGTTTCTCTATGTCACCCAGGCTAGAGTGCAGCAGTAGGACCATACCTCACTGTCGCCTTGAGCTACTGGGCTCAAGGGATTCTCCTGCCTCAGCCTCACAAGTAACTGGGACTTCCGGCACCTGCCACAAGCCCCAGCTAATTTTTAAGTTTTTTATAGAGACAGGGTCTTGCTATGTTGCCGAGACTGGTCTCAAAGTCCTATTCTCAAGCAATCCTCCTGACTTGACCTCTCAAAGTGCTGATAATACAGATGTGAGCCACCATGCCCTGCAAAAATAGTTGTTTACGTTCTCCATCTCATCTTGGGATGTTTTATTCTTGGTTATTCATCTGTTCTCTTCTGCGGAGACAAATGTAGCCACTAGCTCAGGGAACTTAAGACAAACATTTCTCCTCTGTTCCCCAAGGATCAGGGAACCAGCTTGCAGAACAAGAAGCTTTATTTGGTAGGCGGTAACAATTTCCCTTGACTCTTGGTTGAAATGTCACTCAATTAGGAGTCTTCCCCTGTACTGCTGAGCAGAGAGAGACAATTCTCCTGGGATGCTTCTCTTTTCCAACCCTACTTCTGAGATAAAGCTGGTAGTTGGGGAAACATATTCTTCCTCTGAAATTGGCAGGGACACTTAATATCACAGGGCAGAACTTGGTTTGCTGAAGATAGAACTTATTCAATTTCTTTTTGGACTCTCTTTTTGGATTTTCTATTGATGAATTAAGTCACTGCTTTAAAAACCTATATATTTATAAGCATATACGATTAAATGCATGTTATCTGTGAGGTGTAACTTGGTCAGTTCCAACAGAGGAATGCATGATATTATCTTAATTCTGCCTCTTAGCAGTTGAGAGGAAAGTTGTTCAATATCGGGTGTGTGACGATTTTTATAATGTCTTAAGGTGGGCTTTGCCATTGCCTCAAGAACTTTCCTTGGCATGGCCTGTCTCTCAATTCAAATTACCGCTATTGATAATGATCAGAAGACAGGAGAGTGGAATATCAACCAGTTCACCCCTGCACACCCAGGTCCCAGTGTTTCCTTCTTATATGGATGCTAATCATTTTCTAGTATCTCGAATGCTGTCACTGGTTCTCCCTCTCTCTAGAGGTGACTATTTCGCTCCTTTTCCTCTCCCTTTAAAACTTGAACACTCTTGCATTTCTTCCACCATCCCTACTCTCATGTGTGAACTTGCTTCCCCCTTTGGTGAGAAACGTGAAACAATCAGACAGGATTTGCACATCTACTTGCATATGGCATCTGTACCCTTCCATCTGCCCTCATGGCTATGGCCAGCATCCCCACAGGAACTCTAGGTTGCATCTGCTCTATTCAAGGACATTGCTTCAGTGATATTCATCTCTTTCTTGCATCATCACTTTTTTATCTTTCTACCAGATGATTCCAATAGGCATACAAACATGATGTTGTCCTTAGCTTAAGATAAACAAACAAAAAAGACTAAGCCAAACAAATAAAAGCCTTTCTTTGACCCAATTTTCTCAAGCTGTCATCCATTTTTTCTTACCTCTTTAAGAAAACTTCATGAAAAATTTGCCTACAGCACTGTCTCCACCTGCTTTCTTCCTATATACTTTTTCCACTTTTTCATTCTGAACCAATTTTAGATTTAGAGAAAAGTTGCGAAAATATACAGAGAATTCCCATATGCCATTTACTTAGCTTTCCTTAATGTTAACATTTTACGCAACTGTAACACAATCATCAAAACTATGAACTTTCATTTACTCGTGAGCCCACTGCAATTATATTCTTTCTTGCCTCCAAACAAGGTCACAATTTCTCCACATTACTAAATCCAAAGGTCAGTTCTCAGATCTTATCTCATTTGACCTACCAACAACTTTTCATGTGGTTGGGAACTCCCTCCTCCTTACCACACTTCTCTTAGATTCTGGGTCACTACCACTACACTCTCCTTTGGCTCCATTCTCAACCGTTGCCTCTGATCAGTGGTCTCTGCTGATTCCTCTCTAGCTTTTGACTTTTTTTCTTTTTCTTTTTTCTTTTCTTTTTTTTTTTTTTTTTTTTGAGACAGAGTCTTATTCTGTTGCCCAGGCTGGAGTGCTGTGGCACAACCTCAGCTCACTGTAACCTCCACCTCCCGGGTTCAAGTGATTCTCCTGCCTCAGCCTCCTGAGTATCTAGGAGGCCCGTGCCACCACGCCTGGCTAATTTTTGTATTTTTAGTAACGATGGGGTTTTGCCATGTTGGCCAGACTGGTCTTGAGCTCCTGACCTCAGGTGATCTGCCCGCCTCAGCCTGCCAAAGTGCTGGGATTACAGGCGTGAGCCACCGCGCATGTCCTCTTTTGACTTTTTAACATTGGAATCTCTAAAAGCTGAATCCTTGGAGCAGCTCTTCTGTTTTCCTAAGATCCTGGCTCACTTGGTGACCAATACATCTCATTGCTTTAAATACCATCTATCAACTGATGACTTACACATTTTCTATCTCCCGTTTGAACTTCTCCTCCAAACTCTGGACCCATATGTCTAGTTATCTTCTTCTAATCTTCATCTGGATATGTAACAGGCACGTTAAACATAGTGTTTCCCAAACTGAGCTTCTGCTCTTCCCTGTCCCCCAAAATTCTTTCTCACACTGTATTACCTGTGCCAGTTAAGGCAACTTTGTCTTTTCAATTGTTCAAGACAAGAATTTTGGAAAGAGATGCCTCTTTTTCTCTCATATCTTACATCTAATCTTTCAGAAAATTTGATTGACTATATCTTCAATTATAGCTAGAATCTAGTTGCTTTTCAACCTCACTGCTTTACTTTTGCCCATCATCTATTTCCTACCTACAAGGATCTTGTTAAAGCATAGAACTGATGATGTCACTGTCCTGTTCAAAATGGCTCCCCATCTTCAGTGGCTCCCCATCTCACCCCAAGTAGAATCCAAGAGTCCTGACAATGGCGAACAAGGCTCTACCTAATTGGACTGTCCTCTCCATTAGCTATCTAACCTCATCTCTTACTATTCTTCACACAGCTTCCTCTGTTCCAGCCACACAGGCCTTTCTTACCATTCTTTGAACATCCCAGCCTACTCTTCACTTGCTGTTTCCTTTTCTCAAAATGTCCTTTTCTCAGACAGCCTCATGGCTGGCTCCCTCATCTCCTTCAGGTCTTTGCTCAAATGTCACTTCTCAGTGAGGCCTATTTTGATCACCATATTTAAAATGACCTCTCCTCAGCCAGGTGTGGTGGCTGATGCTTGTAATCCCAGCACTTTGGGAAGCTGAGGCGGGTGGATCACTTGAGGCCAGGAGTTTGAGACCAGCCTGGCCAACATGGTGAAACTCCGTCTCTACAAAAACAACAACAACAACAAAACAAAACAAAACAAAACAAAACAAAACAAAACTTAGCCGGGCGTAGTAGTGGGCACCTGTAATCCCAGCTACTTGGGAGGCTGAGACAACAGAATCACTTGAACCCGGGAGGCAGAGTTTGCAGTGAGCAGAGGTTGTGCCATTGCACTCCAGCCCTGGCAACAAGAGCAAAACTCTGTCTCAAAAAAAAAAAAAGAAAAAAGGCCAGACATGGTGGCTCATCCCTGTAATCCCAGCACTTTGGGAGGCTGAGGTGGGAGGATCACCTGAGGTCAGGAGTTTGAGACCAGCCTGGCCAACGTGGTGAAACCCCATCTCTACTAAAAATACAAAAATTAGCCAGGCATGATGGCGCTTGCCTGTAATCCCAGCTACTTGGGAGGCTGAGGCAGGAGAATTGCTTGAACCTGGGAGGCAGAGGTTTCAGTGATCCAAGATTGCACTATTGCACTCCAGCCTGGGGGACAAGAGCGAGACTTCATCTCAAAACAAACAAACAAACTAAAAACAAAACAAGCAAACAAATGACCTCTCCTCCTCCCAAAGAGTTCCATCTCTCTGCCTAGTTTTTTTATTTTACTTATAACCATCAAAGTACCATGTATTTTAGTTTTTACTCTCTGTGTCTTTGTACTGGATGCAAGTTCCACAAGATCAACAGTTTTTTTTCTTTGCCTGTTACATCCTCAGGGTTTTCCACATTGACCTCAACATAGTAGGTACTCCAGAAATATTTGTTGAATAAATCCATGATCCTTGCCTATGTCTATGAGAAAATCCAGGCAAGTATTATTGTTCCCATTGAAGGGAGGGAAACTAAAGCCTGCAGAGGTTAAGTGACTTGTCCAGAGTAAATGAGAAGTCTGAAATGAGAGAGCCCAGTTCTCTCAACTCCAAGTCCTCGGGCATCTCACTATATGTGGCCTTTAATTCAGGAGAGCCATCTATCTGAAGATCTTGTTGTACTTTGGTGGGCAAGGGTTATAAGAACCAACCCAGGGGCAGAGGACCATGTTAACGTCATTGGTGGTCAGCCGATTAAATTCTTTGGCTCCAAACTGCTTTTCACAAGAAAAGAATTCCAAGTAAGCTTTCACTGCAGGGTGACAACAAGGAACATTAATCTGCCAGAGCAGCTGTTTGCTCTTATAAAATACATCAGTCTTCATAATAATGGAAAATCCAAGAGGCAGCTTTACTGATTGAATTGAAAGTCAATGGGAATCAAGGAATTGTCCATGTTGAATTATTAAGTAACTATTTCTAAATTAAGCCTTTTGGATGAGGAGCACACTGGACTGCAGCTTGTACAAATGTATGTTTTCCTCACTTCCCTATTAGGAGAAGTTATATAAGATGTATGCCAGCACATTAATCAAAGACCCAAAAAACAGGTGTGTAAAATGACCATCCATCAAATGGGGTCTTTGGCCATTCCACAGCAGAGTCATTTGGAATTCATTCAATGGATAATGCACAGGAAAAGGGAGAGGCTGTGCAGAGCTATTAGTTGAATTCAAAAGAGCATGGGAAATACAAATTGATGCTGGAATGAAATCAGAAGATATACTCAGCAGTTTGCTTATTCTAATTTAGACTGCCAGTTTGAGAAATGGGAGAAATAATTTAGGCATGCATGGAAAGGGCTTATATTTAAAAATCTTTTATTTCAGAAGACTTTTAGATGTACAGAAAAATTGCAACTATACTACATAGAGTTACCTTACACCCCACACCAATCTCCCCCATTATCAACAGTCTACATTATTATGGTATATTTGTCACAATCAATAAGCCAATATTGATACATTGTTATTAACTAACATCCCCATTTTATTCTAATTTCCTTAGTTTTTACCTAATGTCATTTGTCTGATCCAGGATTCCCTCCAGGACAGCACATTACATTAATTGTCATTTCTTCTTAGGCTCCTCTTGGGTGTGGAAGCTTTTCAGATTTTCCTTGTTTCTGATGACCTTGACAGTTTTGAGGACCACTGGACATATATTTGGTAGAATGTCTCTGAATTGGGATTTTTCATGATTAGACTGGAGTCTTGTGTTTTTGGAATGAAGACCACAGAGGTAAAGTGACAGAAAGGAAGACTACAGGTAAAGTTCTGTCATCATAGATCAAGAGTACATATTATCAATATGACTTATTACTACTGATGTTAACCTGGGTCTTCTGGCTGAGAGAATGTTTGTCAGATTCCTTTACTGTAAAGTTACTCTTTTCTCTTCTTTCCATACTATACTCTTCAGAAGGAAATCTTTATGTGCAGTTATGGGCCATTTCCTTGAGGGTGGAGTAGCTACATACATTATTTGGGATTTTTGTTTTGCTTTGTTTCAGTAATTTTGTTGTTGTTGTTGTTTTGATTTTTTGTTTTGATTTTTTTGTTTTGAGACAGTGTCTCACTCTGTTGCCCAGGTTGGAGTACAGTGGCGCAATACTGGAGCACTGCATTTCTGCCTGGGAGATTGGTTATTTTTTATGTATTTATTGTGGACTCATAGATCATTATTTTATACTCTGGGTTACAATCCAATACTACCTTATATTTTTTGCTCAAATTGTTCCAGCTTTGGTCATTGGGAGTTCTTTCAATTGACTCCTATGTTTCTTTCACATACCCCCATCATTGTGGTTTTGGTTTTATAAATATATAATATACATATATATATATACACACACAATTTTGTGTGGTATATATATGGAACTATATGTATCAATATTTAAGCTAAGCATATGTACCTACTATAATTGATGTACCTGCTCTAATTAATTACCATATGGATCATTTTAGCTTCTTCTCCTTGCTTATCTGTAAACTTCCATTCCAACAGTGACAGTTTGGCTCCCACTATCCATCATTTACCTCTTGTGGGGAGCAACTTTATCAACTAGAATACGGTGCTCATGTATGATGTTTTTTGCCTTTAGTCTTATGGACACTAATCATTTCCAAAGTTACTTAAGTTAGCAGCTTCTGTCTACCATTACCTTCAGTTCAGTTATTTCATACATTGGTATACATTTAGATTCTTTTATCACATTCTGCATTTTATCCTGGCATCCCCAGTCTCCTAAATGATTTTTTTTTAAGTTGCACAATTAAGGCATTCTTAGTGCTGAAAAGTTCTGTGGGTTTTGACAAATGCATAGTGTCATGAGTTAATCATTACAATACCATACAGAATAGTTTACTGCCTTACTGGCTGAATAGTTTAACCTATTCAATCCTCACTGTCCCCCATTCCCTGGCAACCGTTGATGGCTTTACCATCTCTATAGTTTTGCCTTTTTTAGAATGTGATGTAATTGGAACCATACAGTGTGTAGCTCTTTCAGACTGTCTTGTTTTAGTTAGTAATATGCATATTATATTCATATATACCTTTATGTGGCTTGATAGCTTATTACTTTATTTTTGCCAAATAGTATTCCATTATATGGACATACCACAGTTTTTTTTTAACTTATTCATCTATTTAAAAAGACATCTTTGTTGCTTTTAGTTTTGGGTGATTATAAAAAAGCTAATATAAACATTTATGTGTAGGTTTCTATGTAAACATAAGTTTTCAGATCAGTTGGGTATTTACCGAGGAGCATGATTGCTGGATTATACATTAAGACTATGTTTAATGTTATAAGAAACTGCCGGACTATCTTCCAAAGTGAATGTGCCATTTTATTTCCCCATCAGTAATGAATGAAAGTTCTTGTTGTCTCACATCCTAGCCAGCAATTGATATTGTCAGTTTTTTTTTAATTGCCATTCTAAAAGGTGTGTAGAGGCAACACATTATGGTTTTAATTCACATTTCCCTAATAACATATGATATTAAGTACTTTTTCATATGCTCATTTGGAAAGGGCCTATTTTTAAGAATCCATAACACCCTTACCTGGTATGAATTCACTTTCTATGCTGGGAGTTTATTCAGTCTAAACTTCTAGAAATTGAAAGAAGGAAATTTTTAAATAAATGTCTTTTTCTCTCTTACAATTTTAAAATGGCTGAAAATAGTTCTGGCATTATTACAAAATAAATAGTAGATGGCAATGTCCTTATTGACAAGAGCCTATTCTTTGTATAATTATTTACAATGAAGTTGATTTGTGTTCCAGATAATATTAATTAAAAATTTTAGGTAAAGAGTGCAACTTTTGATTGAAAATTTCAGGTAGAGTCCAACTTTTCAATGACTTCCCCCAAATGGTTTATAAAACTCTGCCTCACCTCTGAATACCATTTTCTCTCTGAATAAAGGGCACTGGACAATTGCAAGGGCCATCTCATAGGCTTCCGATGCTTCTGGCTTTAATATTCTGTGCTAGATTCGCAGAACTCTTTTACAGATGCTAAGCATTCAATCCTGAAGGCTCCACTTCATCATCAGGTAATTAGTATTTTCATTAACTTGCTTATTGTCAAGGAAAATGAGCCTTGATCATCTAATTTTTCCTCAATGAGTTGAATATTGTAATATATCTATAATTAATGTGCTTTATGCCACAAATGTGTAATGGAGTGGAAATCTGAGGCTGCTCCCAGCAGTCACTGTCAGTAAATGTTTGATGAATAAACAGAGACTTTCTAATGGGAAATGGTGGCGACTTTTACAAGCAGACACAATAAAGACTTTATTAACATACTTAAGAAGCATTCTGGGAAATAGAATTGAATGCATTATTACTGTAGGCTCCTTTTGTGAAAAGTAAATTTTACTGTCCCCATAACAAATGTTTACTTGTTTGATGCAAGTTGTGCTATCAGTATTTTATGGTGTATTCTACAGTTTAATACAATAAAGCTTAAATAAGCTACGTATCCCTTATGGATTTGAGATCCTAAAAAAAATTACCAACAATCCTGTCTGACAATCATTTGCATACCTGGTTTATATGGAAAGAAAACAGTATACCTTTTCAAGATTTTTAAGAGCCCAAAGACAAATTTCAATGTATTTATACTAGCTAATAAATAGAAGTAAATTTGAGTGTGTGTGCAGTTCCACATATAATGAGTCCAATTTTAAGTGGTAGATTAAAAATAAAAGGCAAATGAAATTAATTTTAGAGTACATGTCCACATGCTCTAATGTAGAATCTAGAGATGTGAATTTCATTGTATCAACATGTTTTTCTTTGCCTATGGAAATGTATAGTTGTTTGACATCATTATTTGTTAATAATGCACACTCTCCATTAAGCACGGATTTCTAAGTGGTCAACCCTTCCACCACTGTCACTTGAACAACTCTCACAAAGCTGTCTCCAATACCAGGAGGATGCCAGCCTGACTCTTATATGAACATACAAGAGTTCATGCAAGTCATTTTCGGGTTTGCCCTAACTTGATCCAACCCTGGTTCCAGGCATTCTGCAAAAATGAAATTACATTTGGACAAAGAGCAGCACAGGGTAACTTTCTAACCATGGCAAACAGAGAGGCAATCTGTTCTTTGTATTTTCAACAGACTATTTCCTAAAATGCAAATCGGATTATGTCATCTCACTGCTCAAACCCTTCACTGGCTTCCTATTACTCTTGGCTTAAAAAATAACTTTTATAAGATCTACAACTCCTGGCCACTTCTCTAACATTATCTTATGATATCCTCTTAGAAGACTAGAAAGAAGTCTTCTTTAGGACAGTTTATTTTCTTCTGTGTGCTCATAGCACTGTGAACTGTATTATTCCTCTCAGGGCACCAAATCTCATCTGTGTGGTTATTTGAGTCAGGGCTGTCTCCTTCCACTGCCTGGAGAGTTATTTGAACTGCATTGACATTTTTGCTTACTATTATATTCCTACTGCCTAACACAGTGACTTGTGTATAACAGTCACTCAGAAACATATCTTTTAAATGAATAGAGTTATTTACACATGGAGTATTGAAAGATAGTCATTCCTCTCATACAATATTGAAATTACAAAGATGTTTAAAATGCCCAGTCTGCCGCTACTGTACAATATTCATAAAAATGTTCTCACACCAATTATCCTCTAATATACAGAGTAAGCAAATCTTTGGAAGAGAGTGGGATGTGAACACAGGGTGATAGAAGAGAAGAAGAATCAGCTCCTGATTTTCAAAGGACTATTTGAATAGCTGGGATTTTTTTTTCAGGGAAAGGTGGACTAAGTTAGTTATTCAGCATACCTTTACCTTGAGCCCAGATTCTTACTTCCAATTGCCTACTGCACAACCTCCTGTACAACTCTACATTCTCCAGCCAAATCAAACACCATGTACTGAATTCCTTGTCTTTCTTCTCAAACCTGGCCCTCCTCTTGATTCACGTATCTCTGTAACACAAAAATTATTCTCTACTCCTTTTGCCCTCTCAGCTTCTACCTCTGATCCATTAAAAAAAATCTTCTTCTAAATATCTCCTGAAACTGTTCTGCCTTTTCCACCCTGCAGTGGCCTAGAGCTGAACCATCTTTAGCTTGGACTATTGCTTCAGCCTCCCAAGTGGTCTTTCTGCTGTCATTGACATTCCACGCCAATGTGTTTTCTTCTACCACCAGAGTTTTCTCTTCAAAGATTTAATGTGGCCATGTCATTTTCCGATTTAAAAACTTTTAAATTTTAATTTTTGGCTAGCTGTGCCTCCAGGATAAAGCTTGAACTCTTTAGAACTGCAAATCAGGTCCTTCACAATATCATCATGACTTATCTTTACAGCTTTATTTTTAGTCATCCTGGACACACACCTTAAACTCTATTCATTTTGTGTGTTTTTGTTTTTGTAGTTGTTGTTCTTGTTATTATTTTTATGTTGTTAGTTTTTGACACATAAAAATATTTATGGTGTACAATATGATGCTTTGATATACATATACATTGTGAAGTGATTACTATAAATTTAACATATCCATCATTTCATATAATTATTTTGTGATGAGAATGTTTAAGATCTAATTTATTAGCAATTTGAAGTATACAATACATTATTATTAACTGTAGTTACCATGTTGTACATTAAATCTCTAGAACTTATTCATCTTATAAGTGAAATTTTGTAACTTTTGACCAATCCCTGCACCCCATTTCTCACTCTGCCCCACTCCCTGGCAACCACCTCTTTATTCTCTGTTTCTGAGTTTGACTTCTTCAGATTCCACATGTGAATGAGATCATGTAGTGTTTGTCTTTCTGTGCCTGGCTCATTTCATTTAGCACAATGGCCTCCAGGTTTATCCATGTCATGACAAATAGCAGGACTTCCTTCTTTTGTCAGGGCTGAATAACAGTCCACCAATATATATACTACATTTTCTTTCTCCATTTATCCATCAACACTTAAGTTGTTTTTACATCTTGGCTATTGTGAGAAATGCTGCAATAAACGTAAGAGTGCAGATAACTCTTCAAGATAACGATTTCAATTTCTTTAGATATATCCCCAAAAGTGGGATTGCTGGATCGTATGGTAGTTCTATTTTTAATTTTTTGAGAAACCTCCATGCATAGGAGGTGCAATCTGGCTTTTAGGAGATGGGGTATGGATCAAATGACTCAAATCACAAGAATTTCTGAGTTACACTGAAAAAAAGTTTGTAAACATTGCAGTCAAACATTGGAAACTCGAGCTTCCTTATTTTGAACTTCTTTTAATCTTAGTCTAAGTTTTACTGTCTTATTCAGATATGAATAAGATAAGATATTCAAGCCGGGTGCGGTGGCTCACGCCTGTAATCCCAGCACTTTGGGAGGCCGAGGCGGGCGGATCACGAGATCAGGAAATCGAGACCATCCTGGCTAACACAGTGAAACCCCGTCTCTATTAAAAATCCCCGTCTCTACTAAAAATACAAAAAATTAGCTGGGCGTGGTTGCAGGCGCCTGTAGTCCCAGCTACTCGGGAGGCTGAGGCAGGAGAATGGCGTGAACCTGGGAGGCGGAGCTTGCATTGAGCCAAGATCGCGGCACTGCACTCCAGTCTGGGCGACAGAGCGAGATTCCGTCTCAAAAAAAAAAAAAAAAAAAAAAAAAAAAAGATATTCATGTCTTATTCATATGAATAAGATAAGATATTCATATCTGAATATTATTTAGATTCTCACTACATTTCCAGTGTGTTTTAGACATATTCTACAGAACTTTTAACACAGAGCTTAACTTGTTGGGACACACAGAAAACATTGCTTGAACAGGATTTAAATATTTTAAAAACATTCTTGGAGTTGGGAGATGGTTTGCTGGGCTAGGAGTAGGGTATTCATATTGTTATTATGCTTTTTCCATACTCAACAAATAAATGTTTATATATATATATATATATATATATATATATATATATGTTCATAGACAGAATTTGAGAGGAAATACAGAAAATAAAGAGTTTAAAGAGCTCCTTAATTTGGTTAGTGTTTGACCTATGGTAGTTTATTTTTAAACCTTTTGCTATTTTCCTCCAAATGATCCATAAAAATTAGTAGCAACAATTGTGTAAATGTTAATTTTCATTATCATTCTTAATATTATCTATCTTTTCACCAGAGGCTGTCTCAGACTGTTCATTCACACCACCAGAGTATTATGGTGGTGGAAGGCTCAAATGCACCTGGATTAGAGGAGTGAGGGAAGGGAATGAGAAGATACGTCCTGCACCTGGTGTATAATAGGCCTTCATTAGAGGTCCCCACTCTTTTCCCTATTCTTAGAATGTTTGAATTATGATTTCTATCAAGGCTTTAAGCCAGAGTAATTAAGTTCTAATATTAACTTCTTAGGGAGTGGACGGCTGATGCCTTTTTTCGAGTATAGAGTTGGGAGGCTTCTGTGAAGCTCTGAGTGACCTTCTTGACAGCTGCTGTAGCAAGAGCCACTAATATCCTCCATGTGGGATTGAACCAGAATGTGGGCAGAGATCATTTCAACTCTGCCACTTAGCAGCTCTGTGACTTCTGACATATATGTTAACTTTCCCAAGTCACTATTTCCTTAAATGAAAAATGAGACAAGTGACAGGGTTGACGGGAGCACTAGAGATAATTTGTAGAAAGCACCTAGCACAGTGCCTTGTATATAATCATTCTTCATAAATAATTATGTGTTGCTCCTCTTCCTCCTTTTTCCTTCTTTTTCCCTTTCCTCTCTCATCAAAGAACTATGAATAAGTAGGAGCCATAATTAATCTAACTACTTCAAAACTTAACTTTTTAAAAACAAGCATTTTAAATAATTTTAGAAGAAATTAGATATATTAACCAAAATAAAGAGAAGATAGTACAAATGTCTATAGACTTTATACCTTGTACACAGTTTTGGCTGGAAAATCAAATTATTGAGAGTCATCACTGTAAAGGAATTTCAAGGAGCAACATAAAAGTTTTTAAAAAGTGTATTTTTGTATATTTCTCTGCTGGCTAGAGATGCAGTTTTTGCCTTCCAAAATGAGAACTAGATTAGGAAATGCAGTGAGTTTGTTCACTAACTCGATTATAAAACTATTAATATTCCCCTACTTAAATGCTTACCTTTTTGTAACTATCCTATGAAATGTACAGTAAAAATTTTACTCTCACATCTATTTGTGAAGAGATCACCAATTGTCCTCTTCCCCTGGGGTTCACCTCAATTATATATTTCTGAAGTATAAATAGAAACCCTGGAACCAAATAGGCAAAAGTTCTGGAAAATACAGTTTAATGACCCATGGGTATATACAAAGCATATCATGTGTCTATAAGAATCAAAACATAAATGGAGAAATACATAAACATACAAATGTATAAATAGAAGAGTCACAATGATCCTCAAATGACAAAACCTACATGATACTTATTTGTTCTGAATTATCTCTAAATGATTGTCCCACATTTTACTATTTCATTTTTAAATTATAACTTTTTATACCTCAACAAGTTCAGTAATGCAAACATAGAATTCTTCAAGATAAAAGTTCTGAATAGAAACACAGTTTAAAAAGTAAAGGTCATAAAAATCTTTAAAAAATATTTGAAATAAAAGTACAGACGATGTGATTATTTTGCTGGATGAAGACATAGGGGAGGACAAAGTAAGCAAAATAATCCATGTGAAGGTGTCTGCATCCTAAGGCACACTGACACTTCCCTAATGGACTGCAGTGCACATAAGAATAATTAATCATGTGGAGAAAGCATTGCCAAGGTTACAACTGAGGTCTCTGGTTTTTAATGGAAATGTTCCATGCCTGAACTAAAAGAACAACTTCCCTAGCTCGAGCATTAGGGCATCTGTCATACTTAACTCAGAATAGTTCAGGAGTTCAGTAAAATATCAGAGAGAGTTCAGCACTTTTATTTCTCAGGGTATTAAAACTATATATAATAGGAAAAAAAGGGGTTGTGATCAACTACTGAACATTGTGTGTGGAACATCAAAGAGGTTAAACTTGGATTTCTGAAATCTCAGGAAAAATTTTTTCTCTATTACAGCTATTTCCTTTTGTAGAAATTTTTGGGTGGTTTTTCTATGTGGGCTTCTGAAAACACTGAAGTAAGTGAAAAGCAAATACTTAGGGGAAAGCATAAGCTGAGCTAGATGGAGAAAGGCTTGAGTATATTTCTTTGCTTAATTTAACAAACCAGATTAAGGTACTTATTTATTTTTGGCTCCTGGAGAAAGTGCAGGGAGCAACTGATTGTTAAATTGTGTTGTTCCCTTCTCTGTGGCTATTTATGGAAAAACAGATCTTCTTAAGGACCAGACAGCAGTGGGGAGTGTGACTTTCCAGTGACCAGGAATCTCATGAGGGAAGTCAGAAGGAATGGATTTCAGGAAAAAAGCATGCCAAGTGCTAGGGTCCAAATGCAAACATTAAAAGACTGCATTTCCTTGCTCCATTGAAGCTGATAAACACACTATCACCCCATGATAAGTTTAATTCTTTTAGTCTACTGATGCACTCATTCCTAGGAGAAGTTGACACACTTGTACTTTGAGAATTCTGCTTAATAGGTAGGATTCTTTTCAGAAGAGGCTAAAGTTGGGATGGAGGTGTTGGATCAATGACAGGCTGATGGCAGTTTAGAACCTTGGTTAGAGAGCTCAGGAGAGGATGTGAACAAAATGCTTAGCATGGAGGCTATAAAATGTGATGTTTAATTAATATGCTACTGGAGTTTTTGAATCTATAAATTAGATGTCATAGTCCTGCCTTATTTTTAATCTCATGAGCACCCCATGGTTGGATGACAATATTAAGGCTTACAGGGCTGATCTCTCCAGAGTTCCCTAACCGATTTGGTGAGGTCTTTCTTTCCTAGACAAGCTGGGGTGATTCTGTCCTCACTCCTCCCCTCTGCAAGAAGAAGGAGGATGGGGAGGGACGTCTGCAGTGTTTCTGAGGCCACACTGAAACTTGAGCTTCCTACAAAGCATCTGTGCAAGAATGATCTGGATTGCTGAGGCTGAAGCATTCGTCTTTTTCTTATGGATGTTCGTCTTCTATAGATCCTGCCCTCTGTAGTTTGAGATTATTGATGATTATCATGGGAGGGGAGAATGCTTTTCTTTCTCTCAGAATCGAATGCACACTGAGAACACCACATGATTCACAAATACTTTTCTTTGATTTGTAGAAATAGTAAATTCCCAAGTGCAGCCATTGGGAAGATGGGAGGAGGGAGATCAATCCTCCTATCCATTAAGTAGTTGTGTTACTATGGTGCTGTGACTCACGATATGACTGGATCCTTTGCTTGGTAGAGATTACATATTAATGTCTTGTGAGAGCTGGAGAGATGTGGTTGAGAGATCTGGAAAGTAACATGAGAGGATTTGCCTGGACATAAAAAAGCTGGCTCTTTGAAATACTCTGAGTTTTCCAAAGCATCAATTAGCTCAGATAAAAATACAAATCAAAGAAAAACTTTCTCAATCTTTTAAAATATAAATTCATAACTCAGTGTCTCAGCCCATCTTTTAGATGCCCCCACCCACTCTTCTCTCGTAAGTGTGATAAGTTTTTAGTTTTAAGTTAATCTATTATTTTAGGAGGATGGCTTTTGGAAAAAAATTCTTTCTTTCCCCCAAAACTATTACTTTAAAAATACATGTACCTAGAGAGCTTTTGAAGAGAAGCTTAAGACAAGTGCCAAAGGTGGCTCTTATTGGCCAGGCCAAAGCTTCTTTGTGAGAAAGGCTAGGCGACTGGTGTCAAGCATTTCTGGATATTTCTAGCTGGATGTACAGAACCATTTTGGACCAGCTTGATGAGGCCCAGAATAAAAAACTTCCACGTGCTAGGTAACAAAGACCTTTCACATTTATTTACAAAATGTGATGTGGTGTGTAGCTTGGATTGAATAAATCACCACTGAAATAATTGGCTGATTGCATTTAAATGGCCTGAACACAATTATTGAAATTTTATATAAATTTTATTGGCTTAAACACAAAAATCAAGCAGATATTTGATTCAGATATTGTCTCTGCCACATAATAATTTTGTGTCTTTGAAAAAGTGTATCCCTTTGAATGTTCTTTACCTTACATGTAAAATAAGTTGGTAATAGAGCGTATTTCTTAGTGTTGTTACAAGGAATAAACAAGATAATAAATTTAAAGTGCCTGGCATACTGTCAGATACCTGAGAATGTTCTACAAAATGTTGGCTATTTTTATTTTTTATTTATCTTTTTTTAGATTTAGGGGGTACAAGTGCAGTTGTATTACATGGATATATTGTATAGTGGTGAAGTCTGGGCTTCTAGTGAACCCATCACCCAAATAGTGTACATCGTACCCCATAGGTGGTATTTCATCCCTCACTCCCCTCCCACCTCTCTCCTTTTGGAGTCTGCAGTGTCTATTATTCCACTTTGTGTGTCTATGTGTACCCATTGTTTAGCTCCCACTTATAAACGAGAAAATGCAGTTTTTGACTTTCTGTTTCTGAGTCATTTCACTTAGCATAGTGGCCTCCAGTTCCATCCATGTTGCTGCAAAAAACATGATTTCCTTCTTTTTATTATGGCTGCATAGTATTCCATGGTATATGCATACCACATGTTAAAATTCAATCATCCATTGATGGACACTTAGGTTGATTCTGTGACTTTGCTATTGTGTGTGAAAAGTATTGCAATAAACATATACATGCAGGTGTCTTTTTGATATAATGATTTCTTTTCCTTGGGCTAGATACACAGCAGTGGTAATGCTGGAACAAACAGTAGTTCTATTTTTAGTTCTTTGAGAAATCTCCATACTCTTTTCCATAGTGGTTGTACTAATTTACATTCCCACCAACAGTGTATAAGTGTTCCCTTTTCTCTGCATCCTTGCCAACACCTGTTGTTTTTTTGACTTCTTAATAATAGCAAAATGCTGGCTATTTTTGTAATTGTTATTATCATCATTATTTTTATCTCTGAGCTCCATTTGTCTTCTCCTGTATTCTGAAATTTTCTGCTTTTGGTTCATTGAGGAGTAAATTGAATTAAACGCAGACATATCCTCTTGTCTAGTTTTTATCTTGCAATACCTACTATGGTCCACAGTGTCTACTTTTACAAAATTCTGCTCTGCCACTTGCAAATCAGTCAAATAAATGTAAAGCCCATAGAGCACTTTGTCACATTGACATTTCAATTTGAACAACTTGCTCATTTTTTCTTGTTTCCTCCAAATTCTTAATTTTTGAAGTTTTTGTTTCTCCAATGCATCTTTTGATTGAGTTTGTTTTCTATCATAGTTTTATAGGATCTATAATGAATATTTAATTACTTCACCCTTCTTTCATCTGAATTCTATTAATTAAGCTAGTATATGTCTTCCTTTTCCCTTGTGTTCCTGAAGCACTCTTTTAACTTGTAGCTACTTTCCATTTAAAAAAAAAATCTTCAGTTTCCTCGTCTTCCTCTTTCTTCTTTCTCCTGCCTTTTTCTCTGGGTCCAAAGTAAAGCAGTGAAAGCCCTTTGTCTCCTTGCTGCAACCCACTGGGCTGTGCCAGGCACCTGCATCTCGACAGAGTAGATTGCCAGAGACTTGTTCTAACACAGCGATATGCCTTGTAATCCCTTCACATTCTGTAAGTATACTGAGTGCATTCTCTGCCTTCCTTGGGCACATAATTACTTCCCCTCATGTGGCAGAGCTTCCTGTAGGACAATCAGAGAGTCACAGTGTTCGGAGGCCAGATGATGAAGAATGCCTGCCGGCATCCCCCTTCCATGAGGCTATTATCCTGGAGGAAAGGTTTAATGGCTCAAACATCAGCTTTGAAATGCCAAGTTCAAACTCTGTCTTGGCCATATGTCCTCATGTAATGGCTGAGTAATGCTTGTGTGGCTGTGCATTTGGGGACGGGCACATTGCTGAGCAAGAACATTGCTGCAGCTCCTTTTCCAGTGATCTCAAGGCCTAGGGAACCATTTTTAGCATCTTTGCATCATGGACATAATAGCTGATTGTGCTTTTTGTGTTTTTTTCCAAAATAATATTTCAGGCATGTCAGAACTTTATGTTTGGGAGAAATTCTTTGACATTTCTCCGGCATTTTCTTCAGTCCAAAATGGGAGAAACGTCAGTTTTGCTTATTCTTAAATGGAGCTGTAGTGATCCCTTTGATATTTCTGAAGGTAGCTAAAGGAAGAATCAGGAAAATGTCTTTGCAGCCACCATTAACTGCTGAATTATGTTGCTTTTGTGGTGTACCTCTTTACTTTTTGTTGAAATAAGTAACTTGTATAAGTAAGGTCATGTAAGATATAGCTGGGATTTGAACTTGGCCTGGGTATGGTCTTTCTATGACTCCATGCATCTCCTGGCATGCTACTATGAAGAAATAGACTCAGCTTCTTGGGAAACTTGCTTAAGTCTTGTAGTCCAATATTGGTCTTAGCAGAGAGCAGGAATCAAGAATCAGGCAGCAGCTCACTAAAGCACAGAAAATATCCTGAGTCAGGGATTCTTCTCTTACTCTGAGCCCTGCCCTTTCTAAAGACCAAAACTACTTTTATTTGCATTTTAGCCTTTAAGTTAATTAATGGGAATTAATATGCATGTAAGAATGTCAGAATTTTCCCAAAGGCTCATTATAAATTTAGTGTAAAAGGAGCAGTGGATATATACATGTATATATATGTATATATACATGTATATATACATACATATATATATACACACATATATATATGTGTATATATATATATTAAAGATAGGGCCCTCATTAAATTTTTAGGCTATTAATAAAAACATTTTTACCCGGGCAAGTTAAGTGTGAATGCTGGGATGAAGATGTCAGTTAATGCACTTCAACTATATCGTCAATTGACTCAAAAGAACCCACATGAGGAGTGTCTGTGTGTGTGTGTGTGTGTGTGTGTGTGTATGTTGGAGGGGAGAGGGATTGCTAGTAGGAAGTATTAAAGGCTGCCAGAAAAGTACATAATCATAGTTTCCTTTCATTAGAAAACAGACTCCCAATTTAATCATTTGTATTATTTAATTGTCTAAAACCTCTTCTGCTATTACAGGATATAGCAGAGGAAAATGGCACTTAGTGTATACATAAACAGAATTGAGTGCCTCTTTTTTTTGACAGGGTCTCACTCTGTTGCCTAGGCTGCAGTGCAGAAGCGTGATCATGGCTCACTGCAGCCTGAACCTCCTGGGCTCAAGCCATCCTCCTGGCTCAGCCTCCCAAGTAGCTGGGACTGCAGGCGCACACCACTGCATCTAGCTAATTAAAACATTTTTCTTTTTTTCTGTAGAGACGAGATCTTGCTATGTTGCCCAGTCTGGTCTCACCTGCCTTGGCCTCCTAAAGTGCTGGGATTACAGGCGTGAGACACCACGCCCAGTCAGTTTTTATTCATCTGTGGACACCAGCCAGATAGCCAGTTCAAAGCTAACAGGAGAGCTTTTTGAGGAATATTGCACTCACCAACTCCACAGGTTCCACAGGGCATACGTGCACAAAAGTAAATCTTAGCGCAAGTATGAAAGTAGCTTAATTTCTGCTCTCTCTAACAGACGTTAGATATATGCTTATACTGTTTGGACCTCTGTGAGCTCTCCTCACAGATGGTGGCTTAGCATCGCTGCCCTTGGAGTTGGAAGGGACTAGAGGCACCAACCTTTCATGGCACACGTATTCTTTCTTTGTACTTTATAAAGTCATGCTGTACATGCTTGCACATGCCAGCCACAGTGGCTCACCCCTTTGCTGGATGGCCTGTCCTCTTACCAGACTGTAGAAAAGCTATAGATTCTTCTTAGAGCACAGCTTACCTGGAGGCAGGATCTGCCTCCTGTGGCTCCCACTTCTGCATCCCAGCCCTGTCACTCAGAATAGTCCTGGAGTGACTCTACCAATTATTACACAACACATCTGAAGTATGTGAAGACAGCCTTTTGGCTCTCTCAAATAATTTATCTTTTTGGTTATACAGCACCAGTTCTCTTCACCATGCTTTATCAGATGTTCTCGGTTTTAGAATTCTAGACATCTAAATTGTCTCATCTCTGAAAATCCTCTAGGCTGACAACACATTTCCCAACATGACTCCCAGAAGTGGACACCCTGATCCATGTGAGGTCCATGGGATGACAGGCTACCATGGGACCATGACCAACTTGTATCTGGAGCCTGCAGACCAACTATTGTAGCTAAAATTATTACTGTGAATTCCCTGTAGGCAGGAACCAGCCTTAGTCACAATAGGCAGGGAAGTAAATGAGTTGTATGAGTACCCCCTAATCACAATGACTGCCTTTCACAACCATTGGTCGTTCAGTGCTTCCTCTTCTTGTTTGCAGTGAGAAAGTTCCCTGAGCCCTACAAGACCCACGTCAGTTTAAACAGCATCTTCCTGGCTTCAACTCTGATGTCACTTTAGCCACCTGACATTACCCAAGTCTTCGTTGTCTTCCAGAATGCCAGCTACTCCTCCTGGTTCTGTGTTATGAGCAGACTCGAAAAGCATGTTTTCTACTTTTCCTGCAAGTTACTGACAAAGGTATTGAATAGGCTAGGTCCTTATGTCATCTGTATCGATCCAATGGTATATCTTCCTTTTTACCCCAGCTCAGAATCTGATTGATCATGCTACTGCAGCCATCACATCAACATCAAAACCACATGCAATTTGTTATTTGTCATTCTGAAACAAATACATTCAACATGGAGTCATTCCTTCTTTCAACAGGTGTCAACTGAGCCTCTTTCAAATATTATGCATTATATTAGGTGCAAAACAAATACAATAATTACAAAATAAAACAAATAAAATAGTTACAGAATAAAATAATTACAAGGTAAAACAAAGAAAATACTTACAATTGGGATGGTCCTATGAAGGATATAAGCAAGGTGATGAGACAGAGAGTTCTAGGTACAACCTACTCTATATAGAGCAGCCAGGGAAGGCATCGTTGAAGAGTGACTGAAATACAGAGTCTGGAAGATGAGAAGGAGCAGTGAGAAGAAGAATTTGGAAAGAGCATTCCAAGCAGAAGGAACACCTAGGGCTCTGCAGCCAGAATGGGATTAGTGTGTTCCAGACTGACAAAAGGCCAGTGAGACTGCAGCAGATTGTACCAAAGGGTAATTAAGTCATAATGTAACTTGAAGAATGAGACAGAGTCCAATCAAGCAGGGCCTTATATGATTATAAGCATTTAGGATTAGCTAAAGTACAATGAGAAGCCATTGAGATGCTTCATATAGTGGAGCAATATGGTCTAGTTTGCATTTTTAATAGAACTCTTTGCTGTTGAAGAATTGATTGGAGATGAGAGAATGGAAGAGAGAAGACCGGTTACAGAATTCTATGACAAAAACTAAGTGAGAGAAGAAGGGACTTGGATCAATTGGAGGCAGTGGAGATGGGAGGACTGATTTAAGATATATTTTGGATGTGTCCTGCTAAAAGATTAGATATGAGGGGTGAAGGCCGAGAAGGAGAAAGGGTGGCTTTAGCAACTGGAGTAAGGGCCAGGGTTTGTGACGTGTGGTCTTGCTCACATAGCTTTATTCCGCAAGGCCTAGCCTCCCTCTTCCTTTGATTCACTCTTCTTAAAGGTTTACTAAATGGCTAAACAATTTACCTAGAATTATCTAGAATCTATTCCATTTTATCAGTTTTTAGTTTCTGATATTCACCTTTCCTCCTATTTCAGTAATCTTTGTTTCTCCAGATGCCTCCGAGTTTTCACTGATGACTCCGTAATTAAATATACAAAAAAGTTCAACAACCTCACATGCAATTCTATTGGGTTTGGGAAATTAAACTTATTTAAGTCCATATAAGTTCTTTAAGTATAAACTCATTATCTCTTCTCGTGCTTTGGTCTTCAACCACCTTTGAGCAATATTTATTCTACTCTCTTCTGTTTATAATTCATTTTCCTCCATGGAGAATAGAAACAAATTGAAGTGAAGAATAGCTGAGCTCTTTGGTATTTGTTAACATTATAACATCTTTGAGCAGCCCCCTTTCCACATTCTTTCTAATCATTTTTAGTGATCTGGAGCATTTATAAAACTTTATCTTGTTTGGGTACACAATCTTTCTGACTCAAATCTTATAGATTTGTGCCTATTTTCTGTACTTTTTCTTGGTTACAAGTTCTTTCTGGCTCATTTGGCATATTAAAAAATCTGAGCTCATAAAGGGAGATAATATTGTAGCTATTTTAGGTACTTTGACCTTCAATCTCATTTCCTTCTCATTTAAATTAGTCTCACTTGCATAGACAGAATTACATATTTTTAAAGGCTCTTCTTCCATTTAGAATCATATTCTTTTAAAGAGTCTGTCTATGGAATCTCTTTAGTTTTGGGAATCTGGTTTCATGGGAGACAGATTGGGATAGGGGAAAGAAAATAGATTCTAGGGTCTGAAAAGTCTGTGGCCAAATTCTAGCCTGGCTGATGCAGAAGAGGTGATCCATAGATACCTGCTGAATAAGTGAATGAGCAAATTAATTGTGACTGCAAACAAGTCATTTAAACTCACCAAGCCTCAGTTTTCTCATCTGTACTAAATAATGACACTAATGTTTATCCTTAGAGGACTATTTTCAGAAGTGAATGGGCTACAATATCTGCGGGAGTACTTCAAATGACAGCATCATTCATTTTAGCCTTGCATCATTTTTCGGTACACCCTGGGATTTAGGTATGCCTGTAGGGTTGACTATCCTGATGCTTGACTGTCTTAAATATTTTAAGCTTTTATTTTTATTAAGCTTATAAATGCACATACATTAAAGAGTCACCCAGGTTTACAAGTGTTGTTAACAATCAGCTGTCATTATCCCTTATCCCCTTTTCTTAAGAAGTAGCAACTTTTAACATTTTAAGCTGATTCTGTTAGAATTTACTCCCATACTTTCAAATAAAATGCTTATATTGCTACCTCTTGATTTCTTTGGAATCAGGCATCTTTGACTTCTCACATGGAAGATTATCACCTAGCGCTCTCCTCCCTTGTCTCCAACATACACAAAATGCCCACTTCTTATGTACTATCCTCCCAATATAGTAATTTAAAATTTTGATTAGAATAATATTCAGCATGGTCATCATTTTGATTCTGTGTACCATGCAAGGGCTAAGCCATGGGATAAACAGTGATTACCTTTCTTTTCCTACACTTTAAAAAATTATTTTTGGCAATTAGAATTACTTGTTTATTGTCTTAGTTTCCTATGTTCTCAAATATTTACTCCAGTTGTCGAAATCTTTTCTCTGTTCTTTCATTTACATCAGATAGTCATCACTTCCATTTTCTTTCTTTCTTTTTTTGTTAAATTATGCTTTAAGTCCTAGGGTACATGTGCACAACGTGCAGGTTTGTTACATATGTATACATGTGCCTTGTTGGTGTGCTGTACCCATTAACTCGTCATTTACATTAGGTATATCTCCTAATGCTATCCCTCCCCCGTCCCTCCACCCTATGACAATCCCCAGTGTGTGATGTTCCCCACCCTGTGTCCAAGTGTTCTCATTGTTCAGTTCCCACCTATGAGTGAGAACATGCGGTGTTTGGTTTTCTGTCCTTGCGATAGTTTGCTCAGAATGATAGTTTCCAGCTTCATCCATGTCCCTACAAAGGACATGAACTCATCCTTTTTTATGGCTGCATAGTATTCCATGGTGTATATGTGCCACATTTTCTTAATCCAGTCTATCATTGACGGACATTTGGGTTGATTCCAAGTCATTGCTATTGTGAATAGTGCCACAATAAACATACGTGTGCATGTGTCTTTAAAGCAGCATGATTTATAATCCTTTGGATATATACCCAGTAATGGGATGGCTGGGTCAAATGGTATTTCTAGTTCTAGATCCTTGAGGAATGGCCACACTCTATTCCACAATGGTTGAAATAGTTTACCGTCCAAACAACAGTGTAAGAGTGTTCCTACTTCTCCGCATCCTCTCCAGCACCTGTTGTTTCCTGACTTTTTAATGATCGCCATTCTAACTGGTGTGAGATGATATCTCATTGTGGTTTTGATTTGCATTTCTCTGATGGCCAGTGATGATGAGCATTTTTTCATGTGTGTTGGCTGCATACATGTCTTCTTTTGAAAACTGTCTGTTCATATCCTTCATCCACTTTTTGGTGGGGTTGATTTTTTCTTGTACATTTGTTTAAGTTCTTTGTAGATTCTGGATATTAGCCCTTTGTCAGAAGGGTAGATCGTAAAAATTTTCTTCCATTCTGTAGGTTGCCTGTTCACTCTGATGGTAGTTTCTTTTGCTATGCAGAAGCTCTTTGGTTTAATGAGATCCCATTTGTCAATTTTGGCTTTTGTTGCCATTGCTTTTGGTATTTTAGTCATGAAGTCCTTGCCCATGCTTATGTCCTGAATGATATTGCCTAGGTTTTCTTCTAGGGTTTTTATGGTTTTAGGTCTCACATTTAAGTCTTTAATCCATCTTGAATTAATTTTTGTATAAGGTGTAAGGAAGGGATCCAGTTTCAGCTTTCTACATATGGCTAGCAAGTTTTCCCAGCACCATTTATTAAATAGGAAATCCTTTCTCCATTTCTTGTTTTTGTCAGGTTTGTCAAAGACCAGATGGTTGTAGATGTGTTTTATTATTTCTGAGGGCTCTGTTCTGTTCCATTGGTCTATAACTCTGTTTTGGTACCAGTACCATGCTGTTTTGGTTACTGTAGCCTTGTAGTATAGTTTGAAGTCAGGTAGCATGATGCCTCCAGCTTTGTTTTTTTGGCTTAGGATTGTCTTGGCAATGTGGGCTCTTTTTTGGTTCCATGTGAACTTTAAAGTAGTTTTTTCCAATCCTGTGAAGAAAGTCATTGGTAGCTAGATGGGGATGGTATTGAATCTATAAATTACCTTGGGCAGTATGGCCATTTTCACAATATTAATTCTTCCTATCCATGAACATGGAATGTTCTTCCACTTGTTTGTGTCCTCTTTTATTTTGTTGAACAGTGGTTTGTAGTTCTCCTTGAAGAGATCCTTCACATCCCTTGTAAGTTGGATTCCTAGATATTTTACCCTCTTTGAAGCAATTGTGAATGGGAGTTCCCTCATGATTTGACTCTGTGTCTGTTATTGGTGTATAGGAATGCTTGTGATTTTTGCACATTGATTTTGTATCCTGAGACTTTGCTGAAGTTGCTTATCAGCTTAAGGAGATTTTGGGCTGAGACGATGGGGTTTTCTAAACATACAACCATGTCATCTGCAAACAGGGACAATTTGACTTCCTCTTTTCCTAATTGAATACCCTTTATTTCTTTCTCTTGCCTGATTGCCCTGGCCAGAACTTCCAACACTACATTGAATAGGAGTGGTGAGAGAGGGCATCCCTGTCTTGTGCCAGTTTTCAAAGTGAATGCTTCCAGTTTTTGCCCATTCAGTATGATATTGGCTGTGGGTTTGTCATAAATAGCTCTTATTATTTTGAGATATGTCCCATCAATACCTAATTTATTGAGAGTTTTTAGCATGAAGGGCTGTTGAATTTTGTCAAAGGCCTTTTCTGCATCTATTGAGATAATCATGTGGTTTTTGTCTTTGGTTCTGTTTATATGATGGATTACATTTATTGATTTGCATATATTGAACCAGCCTTGCATCCCAGGGATGAAGCCACCTTGATCATGGTGGATAAGCTTTTTGATGTGTTGCTGGATTTGGTTTGCCAGTATTTTACTGAGGATTTTTGCATCAATGTTCATCAAGGATATTGGTCTAAAATTCTCTTTTTTTGTGTGTCTCTGCCAGGCTTTGGTATCAGGATGATGCTGGCCTCATAAAATGAGTTAGGGAGGATTCCCTCTTTTTCTATTGATTGGAATAGTTTCACAAGGAATGGTACCAGCTTGTCTTTGTACCTCTGGTAGAATTTGGCTGTGAATCCATCTGGTCCTGGACTTTTTTTGGTTGGTAGGCTATTAATTATTGCCTCAATTTCAGATCCTGTTATTGGTCTATTCAGGGATTCAACTTCTTCCTGGTTTAGTCTTGGGTGGGTGTATGTGTCCAGGAATTTATCCATTTCTTCTAGATTTTCTAGTTTATTTGTGTAGAGGTGTTTATAGTATTCTCTGATGGTAGTTTGTATTTCTGTGGGATCAGTGGTGATATCCCCTTTAACATTTTTTTATTGTGTCTATTTGATTCTTCTCTCTTTTCTTCTTTATTAGTCTTGCTAGCGGTCTATCAATTTTGTTGATCTTTTCAAAGAACTAGCTCCTGGATTCGTTGATTTTTTTGAAGGTTTTTTGTGTCTCTGTCTCCTTCTGTTCTGCTCTGATCTTAGTTATTTCTTGCCTTCTGTTAGCTTTTGAATGTGTTTGCTCTTACTTCTCTAGTTCTTTTAATTGTGATTTTAGGGTGTCAATTTTAGATCTTTCCTGCTTTCTCTTGTGGGCATTTAGTGCTATAAATTTCCCTCTACACACTGCTTTAAATGTGTCCCAGAGATTCTGGTATGTTGTGTCTTTGTTCTCATTGGTTTCAAAGAACATCTTTATTTCTGCCTTCATTTCATTATGTACCCAGTAGTCGTTCAGGAGCAGGTTGTTCAGTTTCCATGTAGTTGAGCAGTTTTGAGTGAGTTTCTTAATCCTGAGTTCTAGTTTGATTGCACTGTGGTCTGAGAGACAGTTTGTTATAATTTCTGTTCTTTTACATTTGCTGAGGACTGCTTTACTTCCAACTATGTGGTCAATATTTGAATAAGTGCAATATGGTGCTGAGAAGAATGTGTATTCTGTTGATTTGGGGTGGAGAGTTCTGTAGATGTCTATTAGGTCCGCTTGGTGCAGAGCTGAGTTCAATTCCTGGATTTCCTTGTTAACTTTCTGTCTCGTTGACCTGTCTAATGTTGACAGCTGGGTGTTAAAGTCTCCCATTATTATTGTGTGGGAGTCTAAGTCTCTTTCTAGGTCTCTAAGGACTTGCTTTATGAATCTGGGTGCTCCTGTATTGAGTGCATATATATTTAGGATAGTTAGCTCTTCTTGTTGAATTGATCCCTTTACCATTATGTAATGACCTTCTTTGTTTCTTTTGATCTTTGTTGGTTTAAAGTCTGTTTTATCAGAGACTAGGATTGCAACTCCTGCTTTTTTTTGTTTTCCATTTGCTTGGTAGATCTTCCTCCATCCTTTTATTTTGAGCCTATGTGTGTCTCTGCACGTGAGATGGGTCTCCTGAATACAGCACACTGATGGGTCTTGACTCTTTATCCAATTTGCCAGTCTATGTCATTTAATTGGAGCATTTAGCCCATTTACATTTAAAGTTAATATTGTTATGTGTGAATTTGATCCTGTCATTATGATGTTAGCTGGTTATTTTGCTCCTTAGTTGATGCAGTTTCTTCCTAGCATTGATGGTCTTTACAATTTGGCATGTTTTTGCAGTGGCTGGTATTGGTTGTTCCATGTTTAGTGCTTCCTTCAGGAGCTCTTGTAAGGCAGGCCTGGTGGTGACAAAATCTCTCAGCATTTGCTTGTCTATAAAGGATTTTATTTCTCCTTCACTTATGAAGATTAGTTTGGCTGGATATGAAATTCTGGGTTGAAAATTCTTTTCTTTAAGAATGTTGAATATTGGCCCCCACTCTCTTCTGGCTTGTAGAATTTCTGCCAAGAGATCCATTCTTAGTCTGATGGGCTTCCCTTTGTAGATAACCTGACCTTTCTCTCTGGCTGTGCTTAACATTTTTTCCTTCATTTCAACTTTGGTGAATCTGACAATTATGTGTCTTGGAGTTACTCTTCTCAGGGAGTATCTTTGTGGCGTTCTCTGTCTTTCCTGAATTTGAATGTTGGCCTGCCTTGCTAGATTGGGGAAGTTCTCCTGGATAATATCCTGAAGAGTGTTTTCCAACTTGGTTCCATTCTCCCTGTCACTTTCAGGTACACCAATCAGATGTAGATTTGGTCTTTTCACATAGTCCCATATTTTTTGGAGGATTTGTTCATTTCTTTTTACTCTTTTTTCTCTAAACTTCTCTTCTCACTTCATTTCATTCATTTGCTCTTCAATCACTGATACCCTTTCTTCCATTTGATCGAATCGGCTACTGAAGCTCGTGCATGTGTCACATACTTCCCATGCCATGGTTTTCAGCTCCAGCAGGTCATTTAAGGTCTTCTCTACGCTCTTTATTCTAGTTAGCCATTCGTCTGATCTTTTTTCAATGTTTTTATCTTCTTTGCAATGGGTTCGAACATCCTCCTTTAGCTCTGAGAAGTTTGGTATTATTGATCACCTGAAGTCTTCTTCTCTCAACTCGTCAAAGTCTTTTTCCATCCAGCTTTGTTCCTTTGCTGGAAAGGAGTTGCGTTCCTTTGGAGGAGAAGAGATGCTCTGGTTTTTAGAATTTTCAGCTTTTCTGCTCTGATTTCTTCCCATCTTTGTGGTTTTATCTACCTTTGGTCTTTGATGATGGTTATGTACAGATGGGATTTTGGTGTGGATGTCCTTTCTGTTTGTTAGTTTTCCTTCTAACAGTCAGGACCCTCAGCTGCATGTCTGTTGGAGTTTGCTGGTGGTCCACTTCAGACCCTGTTTGCCTGGGGGTCACCAGCTGAGGCTACAGAACAGCAAATATTGCAGAACAGCAAATATTGCCGCCAGATCCTTCCTCTGGAAGCTTCGTCTCAGAGGGGCACCCAGCCATATGTGGTGTCAGTTGGCCCCTACTGGGAGGTGTCTCCCAGTTAGGCTACTTGGGGGTCAGGGACCCACTTTAGGAGGCAGTCTGTCTGTTCTCAGATCTCAAACTCTGTGCTGGGAGAACTACTAGTCTCTTCAAAGCTGTCAGACAGGGACATTTAAGTCTGCAGAAGTTTATGCTGTGTTTTGTGCAGCTATGCCCTGCCCCCAGAGGTGGAGTCTACAGAGGCAGGTAGGCCCCCTTCAGCTGTGGTGGGCTCCACCCAGGTCGAGCTTCCTGGCCACTTTGTTTACCTACTCAAGCCTCAGCAATGGTGGACGCCCCTCCCCCAGCCTTGCTGCTGCCTTGCAGTTTGATCTCAGACTGCTGTGCTAGCAGTGATCGAGGCTCCATGGGTGTGGGACCCTCTGAGCCAGGCCTGGGATATAATCTCCTGGTGTGCCGTTTGCTAAGACCGTTGGGAAAGTGCAGTATTGGGGTGCGAGGGTCCCAAGTTTCCAGACACCATCTGTCATGGCTTCCCTTGGCTAGGAAAGGGAATTCCCCAACCCCTTGCACTTCCTAGGTGAGGTGATGCCCCGCCCTGCTTTGGCTCACGCTCAGTGGGCTGCACACACTGTCTGACAAGCCCCAGTGAGATGAACCCGATACCTCAGTTGGAAATGCAGAAATCATCCCTCTTCTGTGTCACTCATGCTGGGAGGTGTAGACTGGAGCTCTTTGTATTCGGCCATCTTGGAACCTCCCTCAACAGTTCCATTTTCTTGAAGAAGTCTCTCGCAGAATCTCCAGCCCTGCACTGGCCTGAACTGACTGCTCTTGAAGTTTGCAAACATTTCTTCATCCTGAGGTTCCATATACCTCTCTGAGTTAGATCTCCTGCTCCTGGCTCTCATTCTTGTCTTTCTTGTATGACTGCCTTGTTTTGTTGTTTTGTTTTAGTAAATCTTCCAATAGTTTCCTGAGAAAACATCTGAGGGAGATAAGTTTTTTTGAGCCATTTTATGTTTTAAAATGTCTTTCTCTATCTGACACTTTATTGATATCTCGGCTCTATCCAGTGTTATAGGATGGACAGCAATTTTTTCAGATTTTTTTTCAGTTTGGAAATAAAACAAAGAGCAATTGGTCACATGCAAAGAATTAAGAATACTCAGTGGTTCAGACTTCTCAAATGCAACAGTGGAAGTCAAAAGAAATTGTGGTTTTAAATAACTCGAATTTCTGTAGTTTTTGGGGTGTTTTAGGAGAGAATCAAATTAAAGGTATATATTTAATCAACTTTTTTTTTTAAACCTGAAAATCTCTTTACTTGTATCTTTATATGTGAGAACAAGGTATTTCCCAGATGAAAAGAACTGGTGTCAGAGAGTAGGGATACCACAGGTTCTCACTTGGCTCTCACTAAGCTTGCCCTCATGGCTTACCTCAAATGATTTAAGCCAGAGTCCTGGGACACAAGAATTGTAATAAAATAGTGAGCAAAGTTGTAATGCTGATACATTGAGGCTCAAGACATAAGAGTGCTGGTTGACTAGAACTTTGGCTATAAGGGAAACATATGAATTCCTTCAGCATCTGTCATCAGCAGCTGAACATTGAAGGCACTCAGCAGCAGGGACCTCGGAAGGCAGAGTTCTTCATCATAGAGTCCCTGGTGGTCTCATAGCACCATTATCTCTTTGCTTAAGTGTAGCTACAAGATAACCAAAATGGTAGGTGTACCTTGGCAACCAGTAGAAGCAATTTCTGGAATGCAGCTGAAAACCCCTTTGGGAATTTCTGGAGCTATTTCAAAGGAATTTGAAGAGAGTGGAGGCTCTTAAGGAATTGGTGGGAGAAGAGCCATGAACATCCTATATTGTTGCTATTGTTACAATTCTTGGTTTTCCAGAGATTCTTGGCCCTTGTGAGTCTATGATGCTGATAGCTGATCTGTATTCATATTCCAGGTGATGTTTCCATTTTAATAGATAATTTCTGTGGGATGTTTTGGTCTGAAAGGATGAATCATTAATGGTAGAAATTTAAACCCTGCAAAGGTATGTCTTAGCAGAGGACTATTTTCCTGTGCCTCTCAGAATTACCCATAACTTGTATTCCATCTCTTCTTGGTATATATTTTCATCATATCTTTTGGGATCCCCCCAATTTTTTCTTCACTGAAGCCTCTGAATTATTTTCTGACTTCCACAGTTTGACATGCTAATTGAAGCAGAATGTTATAGATGCACTTTTAAGGTATAGAGACTCATTCCCTTCATACTATTTAAAGAGGCACAAAGAACACACTCTAACTGGATGGACTTCATATTTCTGATGTTTAACAAATGTTATGAGCCACAGTGTGTATCTCAAATGTATATTTATATAATTGAGCACTGTAGAATGTGTCTTCAGGGTACTATTATAAACAAGCTGTCAAGCCTAACTGGGTTATCTTGGGGGAAAAAACAGCCCTTTTTGTACATACCATTTACAAACCGTGTTAGAAATATTCACTAATTGAATTGATTGGGCAATTTTATAAACATGGAGTATTGTGCTATCTGTTCAGAAATCCAAAGCTTAGGCCTTCTTCTGTTTAGCACAGGGAAAGCTATTTTAAAAATTAAAATTCAGGCCAGGCGCATGACTAAAACCTGTAATCCCAGCACTTTGGGAGACCGAGGCAGGCAGATCACCTGAGGTCCAGAGTTCGAGACCAGCCTGGCCAACATGGTGAAACCCCCATCCTTACTAAAAATACAAAAATTAGCTGGGTGTGGTGGTGCATGCCTGTAATCCCAGCTACTCGGGAGTCTGAGGCAGGAGAATCATTTGAATCCAAGAAGTGGAGATTGCAACGAGCCCAGATTGCACCACTGCACTCCAGCCTGGGTAACACAGTGAGACTCCATCTCAAACAAAAATAAACAAACAATTAAAATTCAGTCAATTAACAAATTGCCTCAAAATGTTCACAATTGTTACTGTTCTTTCTTTCTTTCTTTTTACCAAATTAAATTGATTTGTAGTCATTATATAATGTTGAGAGTAAAGATCATTCCTTTGGGTAAAGTTAACATATTTACCTTTGTATTCTGCTTTTATTAGAGAATAAGCAGCCTTATTCCAAATGTCCAAAATTTCTATGATTAAATCTAAAGTCATTTTCATCTTGAAGATAAAACACTCGAATTCCTAAAATAAAATGTTTATTTATTACATTTTATTTTAAGCCTTCTTTGTGAGGGGAATTAATGGAATAGAGGATCAGCCTCAGCAGTATTGGAGTTTGGAGTAGGGAAGAACATTAATAGCCAAAGAAGGCTTCCTGGAGGAAGAGAGATTTGACCTAGGCCTTTGCGAATAAAGAGAATATTCACTGATGGACCAAGGCATGGAGGACATTAAGAAATGAGAGAACAACAGGGAAGAATTTAGGTTGTGTCTGAAAAACAGTGACTAATGCAATTTAGAAAAGTGTATGGGTATTAGTAGTATTAGTATCATAGCAACCCAGAAAAGATAATGTGGTAAGGGAAATGTATTGAGCACCACCTATGTGCCAGATATTGTTGCAGGCAATCAGAGTGTAAGGTGGCAGGGGTGGGTATTGTATAAAAGAAATTATAAGAGACCTTTTGACAAAATACGGACACTTAGTGTAGAGTCCTTGGGAAAGGGTGAAGTTCATGAGCATTCAGAGGAAAATCCCCAATATGCACGAGTAAATAGTGCTATCCACTGCAGCCTGAGGAGTAAAGACAAGCTTAAGGGGGAAAAATTGATATAACATTGACTTCCACTCATTAATTCAACAAGTACTTATGGAGCCCCTTACTTTGGGCTTAGTGTCATGCTAGCATGGGGAGGAATTCTGAGCTGCTAGAAATGACCCTAAGAAAGGCATAGGGCTTCCTCCCAGAAGGTGTGCTGAATAGCACAAGCCTGACAGGAATGGTTGGAGCTCAGGGCTTGAAGGACATGTGACATCTCTTGATGGGGCAGGAAGCTCTTGCAGCCCTCTGGTCATCATTATGGACATTGGCTATCTTTTGACTACAGATTTGCAGAACTGAAAGCTATTAATAGACAGCAGAAAGCAGAGTTTACTGTAAGAGCCTGAAAAATATAGATTTCAGATATCATTATGCTGCCAATTTCTCTTCAGCCTGCAAAAGGTTTGCTGGGCCTTGTACATCCTCCTTTTTCATGGTATTCTTACTGGGACAAGAGAGCACAATTGCCAGGTACAGAGCATATTCTAGGTCTGTCTTTAAACATAGATAAGGCACAAAATAAGAAATAAACTCTGTTCTTCTAGGCTCACTTTCTTATATTTATTTACTCTCTGACTTTTCAAGGACCAAACATTTCTTCTCCATCTTTTGGTCCTCTCTCCACTCTGAGCAGCCCAGAGCATTTAAACTTACATCTACTTTTATGCATGATTTACAGGCTTTCTTGGGAATTTTGAAGCTAGGTCCATCACTGAGAGAAAATCCTTAAGTCATGTTGGAGACAGCTGATATCTTTTTTTTTTTCCTAATGGAGCAATAAACTGGTTATGGAGTTTCCTTATAACTTTTTAAAAGACTGCTGTAAGCCATCATTTGAAAGTCTTCTGAATTCCAAGCCTGTCTTTATGTCTTTAATAATTACAGCACTGTCACATGTTTGTGGTTATCCCAGTGATAGACTTACCTGGAAACAGAGCAAAGGACTATTAAAATATTGTCCACATGGTAGTTCTTTACCTGCATAATTGCTAAAGTAACATAGATCAAACTTCTGGGAGTTTCAGCTATAGCCTGAAAAAGTATACACTGTCTCCACTTGTGAAAAAGTTAAATTTCAGACATATTTTTTAAAGGTAATATTATGGAATTTAAATTACCTATGAATGCAGATACATAGCATTGTAGATTTTTAAGTGAATGATAAATGTCAGTTTCCAGTTTCCACTGTAATTTGAATTGCTTATCTAGATAGAGTAAGCCATTGTGGAATTACGGTTGAGGACTTTAAAACATTTTCCCCTCTACGGATCTATTTTCTGTTGCAACTTTGCCCTTTATTTTGTTTCAAAATATTTTATTTTTTTCCTCATAGACTTTCTTGCCTGTAGGTGTTTTAAAACATTGTGCTAATATAATTTTTCCATGGTTTACACTTTTTTCATTTTAACCCTGAATTTAGGACTACTGTTTCAGTCTTTGATTCGGTAATTTTTTTTCTTTTTATATAATGCAAAAAAACTTTGGCTTGAAGTTCTGCTTACTTAATAATGCATTGTGAAACTAGAACATATAAGTGGCATTGCAAGCATTAGAGCATCTCTATAAGAAAACAGCGAGAAAATAAATAAACCAGAAATCTGCTGTTAGCGGCGATATGAGGAATATTATTTGTCAGTGTAATGTAAACTTTTGACTTGTTATGTGTCTGTGAAGATATTGGCTGAATACGAGAACTGGGTAAAAATCCAAGCAGGTAATATGACACTTAAACCTTATTTATTGGAAAGCACTAATATTTCTGAAGAATGTTGTGTGAATAATAATTGCTTCCATTTGTCACATGCTGAAAAATTGCCAAGGACTGAGAAGGATGCTGCAGATACGCTGGTGAGCAAGAGAAAATCTCTGGCTGGAAGGGCTTAACTTTTAGCAGGGAATGAGCCATCGCAATACTGTAGGATACATTCTATGATGGTTAAGTGCAGGAAAGTACATGGGAGTTGGGACTAATTCAGTTTTAGGGGTCAGCAAGGTACTAAAGGAAGAGATGTTAACGCTGATGTGGTAGGTGTAATTCTAAGATGATCTCCAATGAGTAATGGCATTGAACTGTCTTTTCCACAGTTCAATTCCATTGAACTGTGTTGGGTAAGTCCTGTAACTTCTTTCTATCCATAGAATATGGCAAAGGTGACATGATATAACTTCTGTGATTATCTTAAATTATATGGCAAAGGTGTGGGGACTTAGCATATATTATTAAGGCTTCTCATTAATTGACTTTAAGTTAACCAAAGGGAGACTGCCTTGAGTGGGTCTGACCTAATCAGGTAAGCTCTTTAAAAGAGACTAGAAGAGAGAGAGATTTGCCTCCTGGCTTTGATGAAGTAAGCTGCCATATTGTGAGAGAGTCAGTGAGTAGGCCAGGCCACATGACAAGGAACTGTGGTGGCCTCTAGAATCTGAGAGAAGTTCCTGGCTGACAGCCAGTACGAAAGCAGAAACCTCGGTCCTACAACCACAGGGAATTACATTCTGCTAACCATGTGAGCTTAGAAGAGGACTCTGGGCTCCAGAAAAGAATGTAGACCAGCTAATACCTAGACTGAAGTCTTGTGAGACCCTGATCAAAGGACCTAACTAGGATGCATTTAGACTCTTGGCTCATGGAAACTGTTAAGAGAATACATATATATATGTATGATTTAGAGTATATATTTATTCTATACATATATTCTCTCTCTCTATATATATATATACATATATATACATATATGATTTAGACAGCTAAGTTTGTGGCATTTGTCGGATAGCAATAGAAAGCTGATACAACTGAGATGTGAAGGATAACACTTAGATGGGGAAAGAATGTTCCAGGATTTTAGTAGAGTGGCTAAAATCATAGGCTTTGTAGGCAGATTAACTTGGCTTCTAGTTTAGCTAGTAGGTGACTCAGAGCAGGTTACTTAACCTCTCAATTTTTCATTTTTTTTTGTTTTTGTTGTTGTTGTTTTTATATTTTGAGACAGACACTGTCACCCAGGCTGGAGTGCAGTGGCATGATCTCAGCACAATGCAACCTCTGCCTCTCAGGTTCAAGCAATTCTCTGCCTCAGACTCCCAAGTAGCTGGGAGTACAGGAACCCGCCACCATGCCTGGCTATTTTTTTTTTTTTTTTTTTTTTTTTTTTTTTTTTTTTTTTTAGTAGAGACAGGGTTTCACCATCTTGGCCAGGATGGTCTTGAACCCCTGACCTCGTGATACACCCGCCTCGGCCTCCCAAAGTGCTGGTATTACAGGCATGAGCCACCACACTTGGCCTAACCTCTCAATTTTTCTCACGTGTAAAATGAACATTTTCATTATCATCACCACCATTTCCATCCTGCTCCTCTTCTCCTCCTCCTCCTCATCATTCTTCTTCTCTCATAGGGCTATCGTGAGGATTACATACATTAAGCTGTCGAATGGTTTTAAACAGAAGAGGGGCATGAACAGAGGCAGGATTCTAACTTAGGCTGACACTAGGTCCTTGTTATTTTCCAGAATGATCTCCTATACTATAATTTATATTGTTCTCTATTGTTATGAGCTCAGCTTTAACAATCTGATAGACCTGGATTTAAATTCTAGCTTCCCTTTGAACAAAACAAAATTTTAAGCCTCGGTTTCTCATATATGATATTTAAGAATAGAGGGCAGCCAAGATGGCCAAACAGGAACAGTTCCGGTCTATAGCTCCCAGCGTGAGTGACGCAGAAGACGGGTAATTTCTGCATTTCCATCTGAGGTACCAGTTTCATCTCACTAGGGAGTGCCAGACAGTGGGTGCAGGACAGTGGGTGCAGCACACCATGCGCGAGCTGAAGCAGGGCGAGGCATTGCCTCACTCAGGAAGCGCAAGGGGTCAGGGAGTTCCCTTTCCTAGTCAAAGAAAGGGGTGACAGACGGCACCTAGAAAATCGGGTCACTCCTGCCCTAATACTGCACTTTTCCGATGCGCTTAAAAAATGGCACACCAGGAGATTATATCCCGCACATGGCTTGGAGAGTCCTATGCCCACGGAGTCTTGCTGATTGCTAGCACAGCAGTCTGAGATCAAACTGCAAGGCGGCAGCAAGGCTGGGGGAGGGGCGCCCACCATTGCCCAGGCTTGCTTAGATAAACAAAGCAGCCGGGAAGCTCTAACTGGGTGGAGCCCACCACAGCTCAAGGAGGCCTGCCTGCCTCTGTAGGCTCCACCTCTGGGGGCAGGGCACAGACAAACAAAAAGACAGCAGTAACCTCTGCAGACTTAAATGTCCCTGTCTGACAGCTTTGAAGAGAGCAGTGGTTCTCCCAGCACGCAACTGGAGATCTGAGAACGGGCAGACTGCCTCCTCACGTGGGTCCCTGACCCCTGACCCCTGACCCCTGAGCAGCCTAACTGGGAGGCACCCTCCAGTAGGGGCAGACTGACACCTCAGAAAGTACAAAGTTTTGCACATTGTACTCCTCTGAAACAAAACTTCCAGAGGAACGATCAGACAGCAGCACTCGCGGTTCATGAAAATCCGCTGTTCTGCAGCCACCACTACTGGTACCCAGACAAACAGGGTCTGGAGTGGACCTCTAGCAAACTCCAACAGACCTGCAGCTGAGGATCCTGTCTGTTAGAAGGAAAACTAACAAACAGAAAGGACATCCACACCAAAAACCCATCTGTACATCACCATCATCAAAGACCAAAAGTAGACAAAACCACAAAACAGAGGAAAAACTGGGGAAAAAACAGAGCAGAAAAACTGGAAACTCTAAAAAGCAGAGCACCTCTCCTCCTCCAAAGGAATGCGGCTCCTCACCAGCAACAGAACAAAGCTGGACGGAGAATGACTTTGATGAGTTGAGAGAAGAAGGCTTCAGACAATCAAACTAATCCGAGCTACAGGAGGAAATTCAAACCAAATGCAAAGAAGTTGATAACTTTGAAAAAAATTTAGATGAATGTATAACTAGAATAACCAACACAGAGAAGTGCTTAAAGGAGCTGATGGAGCTGAAAGCCAAGGCTTGAGAACTACGTGAAGAATGCAGAAACCTCAGGAGCTGATGCGATCAACTGGAAGAAAGGGTATCAGCGATGGAAGATGAAATGAATGAAATGAAGTGAGAAGGGAAGTTTAGAGAAAAAAGAATAAAAAGAAACGAGCAAAGCCTCCAAGAAATATGGGACTATGTGAAAAGACCAAATCTACGTCTGATTGGTGTACCTCAAAGTGACGGGGAGAATGGAACCAAGCTGGAAAACACTGCAGGATATTTTCCAGGAGAACTTCCCCAGTCTAGCAAGGCAGGCCAACATTCAGATTCAGGAAATACAGAGAACGCCACAAAGATACTCCTCGAGAAGAGCAACTCCAAGACACATAATTGTCAGATTCACCAAAGTTGAAATGAAGGAAAAAATGTTAAGGGCAGCCAGAGAGAAAGGTCGGGTTACCCACAAAGGGAAGCCCATCAGACTAACAGCGGATCTCTCAGCAGAAACTCTACAAGCCAGAAGAGAGTGGAGGCCAATATTCAACATTCTTAAAGAAAAGAATTTTCAACCCAGAATTTCATATCCAGCCAAACTAATCTTCATAAGTGAAGGAGAAATAAAATACTTTACAGACAAGCAAATGCTGAGAGATTTTTGTCACCACCAGGCCTGACCTAAAAGAGCTCCTGAAAGAAACACTAAACATGGAAAGGAACAACTGGTACCAGCCACTGCAAAATCATGCCAAATTGTAAAGACCATCGAGACTAGGAAGAAACTGCATCAACTAAGGAGCAAAATAACCAGCTAACTTCATAATGACAGGATCGAATTCACACATAACAATATTAACTTTAAATGTAAATGGACTAAATGCTCCAATTAAAAGACACAACTGGCAAATTGGATAAGGAGTCAAGACCCATCAGTGTGCTGCATTCAGGAAACCCATCTCACGTGCAGAGACACACATAGGCTCAAAATAAAAGGATGGAGGAAGATCTACCAAGCAAATAGAAAACAAAAAAAGGCAGGGGTTGCAATCCTAGTCTCTGATAAAACAGACTTTAAACCAACAAAGATCAAAAGAGACAAAGAAGGCCATTACATAATGGTAAAGGGATCAATTCAACAAGAAGAGCTAACTATCCTAAATATATATGCACTCAATACAGGAGCACCAAGATTCATAAAGCAAGTCCTGAGTGACCTACAAAGACACTTAGACTCCCACACAATAATAATGGGAGACTTTAACACCCCACTGTCAACATTAGACAGGTCAACGAGACAGAAAGTTAACAAGGATACCCAGGAATTGAACTCAGCTCTGCACCAAGCGGAACTAATAGACATCTACAGAACTCTCCACCCCAAATCAACAGAATATACATTTTTTTCAGTACCACACCACACCTATTTCAAAATTGACCACATAGTTGGAAGTAAAGCTCTCCTCAGCAAATGTAAAAGATCAGAAATTATAACAAACTGTCTCTCAGACCACAGTGCAATCAAACTAGAACTCAGGATTAAGAAACTCACTCAAAACTACTCAACTACATGGAAACTGAACAACCTGCTCCTGAATGACTACGGGGTACATAACAAAATGAAGGCAGAAATAAAGATGTTCTTTGAAACCAACGAGAACAAAGACACAACATAACAGAATCTCTGGGACACATTTAAAGCAGTGTGTAGAGGGAAATTTATAGCACTAAATGCCCACAAGAGAAAGCAGGAAACATCTAAAATTGACACCCTAATATCACAATTAAAAGAACTAGAAAAGCAAGAGCAAACACATTCAAAAGCTAACAGAAGGCAAGAAATAACTAAAATCAGAGCAGAACTGAAGGAAATACAGACACAAAAAACCCTTCAAAAAATTAATGAATCCAGGAGCTGGTTTTTTGATAGGATCAACAAAATTGATAGACTGCTAGCAAGACTAATAAAGAAGAAAAGAGAGAAGAATCAAATAGACGCAATAAAAAATGATAACGGGGATATCACCACTGATCCCACAGAAATACAAACTACCATCAGAGAATACTACAAACACCTCCATGCAAATAAGCTAGAAAATCTAGAAGAAATTGGTAAATTCCTGGACACATACACCCTCCCAAGACTAAACCAGGAAGAAGTTGAATCCCTGAATAGACCAATAACAGGATCTGAAATTGTGGCAATAATCAATAGCTTACCAACCAAAAAGAGTCCAGGACCAGATGGATTCACAGCTGAATTCTACCAGAGGTACAAGGAGGAACTGGTACCATTCCTTCTGAAACTATTCCAATCAATAGAAAAAGAGGGAATCCTCCCTAACTCATTTTATGAGGCCAGCATCATCCTGATTCCAAAGCCGGGCAGAGACACAACCAAAAAAGAGAATTTTAGACCAATATCCTTGATGAACATTGATGCAAAAATCCTCAATAAAATACTGGCAAACCGAATCCAGCAGCACATCAAAAAGCTTATCCAGCATGATCAGGTGGGCTTCATCCCTGGGATGCAAGGCTGGTTCAATATACGCAAATCCATAAATGTAATCCAGCATATAAACAGAACCAAAGACAAAAACCACATGATTATCTCAATAGATGCAGAAAAGGCCTTTGACAAAATTCAACAACCTTCATGCTAAAAACTCTCAATAAATTAGGTATTGATGGGACATATCTCAAAATAATAAGAGCTATCTATGACAAACCCACAGCCAATATCATACTGAATGGGCAAAACTGGAAGGATTCACTTTGAAAACTGGCACAAGACAGGGATGCCCTCTTTCACCACTCCTATTCAACATAGTGCTGGAAGTTCTGGCCAGGGCAATTAGGCAGGAGAAGGATATAAAGGGTATTCAATTAGGAAAAGAGGAAGTCAAATTGTCCCTGTTTGCAGATGACATGATTGTATATCTAGAAAACCCCATTGTCTCAGCCCAAAATCTCCTTAAGCTGATAAGCAACTTCAGCAAAGTCTCAGGATACAAAATCAATGTACAAAAATCACAAGCATTCTTATACACCAACAACAGACAAACAGAGAGCCAAATCATGAGTGAACTCCCATTCACAATTGCTTCAAAGAGAATAAAATACCTAGGAATCCAACTTACAAGGGAAGTGAAGGACCTCTTCAAGGAGAAATACAAACCACGGCTCAATGAAATAAAAGAGGATACAAAGAAATGGAAGAATGTTCCATGCTCATGGGTAGGAAGAATCAATATCATGAAAATGGCCATACTGCCCAAGGTAATTTATAGATTCAATGCCATCCCCATGAAGCTACCTATGACTTTCTTCACAAAATTGGAAAAAACTACTTTAAAGTTCATATGGAACCAAAAAAGAGCCCGCATTGCCAAGTCAATCCTAAGCCAAAAGAACAAAGCTGGAGGCATCACGCTACCTGACTTTGAACTATACTACAAGGCTACAGTAACCAAAACAGCATGGTACTGGTACCAAAACAGAGATATAGATCAATGGAACAGAACAGAGCCCTCAGAAATAACGCCGCATATCTACAACTATCTGATCTTTGACAAACCTGAGAAAAACAAGCAATGGGGAAAGGATTTCCTATTTAATAAATGGTGCTGGGAAAACTGGCTAGACCTATGTAGAAAGCTGAAACTGGATCCCTTCCTTACACCTTATACAAAAATTAATTCAAGATGGATTAAAGACTTAAACGTTAGACCTAAAACCATAAAAACCCTAGAAGAAAACCTAGGCATTACCATTCAGGATATAGGCATGGGCAAGGACTTCATGTCTAAAACACCAAAAGCAATGGCAACAAAAGACAAAATTGACAAATGGGATCTCATTAAACTAAAGAGCTTCTGCATAGCAAAAGAAACTACCATCAGAATGAACAGGCAACCTACAAAATGGGAGAAAATTTTTGCAACCTACTCATCTGACAAAGGGCTAATATCCAGAATCTACAATGAACTCAAACAAATTTACAAGAAAAAAACAAACAACCCCATCAAAAAGTGGGCGAAGGACATGAACAGACACTTCTCAAAAGAAGACATCTATGCAGCCAAAAAACACATGAAAAAATGCTCACTATCACTGGCCATCAGAGAAATGCAAATCAAAACCACAATGAGATACCATCTCACACCAGTTAGAATGGCGATCATTAAAAAGTCAGGAAACAACAGGTGCTGGAGAGGATGTGGAGAAATAGGAACACTTTACACTGTTGGTGGGACTGTAAACTAGTTCAACCATTGTGGAAGTCAGTGTGGCGATTCTTCAGGGATCTAGAACTAGAAATACCATTTGACCCAGCCATCCCATTACTGGGTATATACCCAAAGGATTATAAATCATGCTGCTATAAAGACACATGCACACTTACGTTTATTGCGGCACTATTCACAATAGCAAAGACTTGGAACCAACCCAAATGTCCAACAATGATAGACTGGATTAAGAAAATGTGGCACATATACACCATGGAATACTCTGCAGCCATAACAAAGGATGAGTTCATGTCCTTTGTAGGGACATGGATGAAATTGGAAATCATCATTCTCAGTAAACTATCACAAGGACAAAAAACCAAACACCACATGTTCTCACTCATAGGTGGGAATTGAACAATGAGAACACATGAACACAGGAAGGGGAACATCACACTCTGGGGACTGTTGTGGGGCCGGGGGAGAGGGGAGGGATAGCATTAGGAGATATACCTAATGCTAAATGATGAGTTAATGGGTGCAGCACACCAGCATGGCACATGTATACATATGTAACTAACCTGCACATTGTGCACATGCACCCTAAAACTTAAAGTATAATTAAAAAAAAAAAAAGAATAGTACCTACTTTATAGGGCTGTGAAGATTAAATGAGATAATGTATATGAAATGTGTATACATTTAAGAATTTCTTAAATTATTGAAGAAATGTTTATACGTAATATGATTTGCAGTCTTCATTCATTGTTTATATGACATATAAAAATAGTTATGCCTACACACATGTTAAAAGCTTTCTCACACAATGAATAGATTTTTGAGGGAAATGGTAAAGTCTTTCTAAAGATCATTGAAACTAGGTCATTTTAATTGGTCTTGAATGCTTTGGGTCAGGTAAATACCGAAAATTAGTTGATGGGTTAGATGTTCTTTCAATCATTGTTTATTTTAAACTTTTATTTTAAACATGCTTCATCATAATAATTTCCCATGTATAGGAATCTTCCTGAGTGGGCTGATTTATATTCCTTCGGTCCTTCTTCACGATTGCAAAATTATTGTTCTTTGATTTTCAAGGAATGAACTATTGCTTTCTAATTTTTAGCTCCTTTTTAGAAGTGGTTTCCTTGCCCTGTGACTAGGCACTGATGATATTTAGTTAGCTGAAAGCAAGTGTTTTCACATCATGTGGCTTATGATTACTACAATTTTCTGAACTTGGCTATTGCTACTTCTGGTCCAGAACAAGCTGAAAATCAAGATGCTGGAAGTTATGATGAGGAATGGGGAAGACTTGTTTTATTTTCTCATTATGTAAACGCAGTCGCTCCCATGGCTGCTCTGCTTGTTTTATTGGCACTACTGCTTGCTCTTTCTTTCTATCTCATTGGGTATAGACTATGTTTATTGTTGTCTTACAAATTATCCTTGCACTTGGCACTTCTGTTGCTAATTGCCTACTAACTTTCTCCCTATTCGAGTAATGAGTGGCAATTTGGTATCTACCTCCATGCAGATATTATAGTTTCTTATCATTATTACACTGCATCTATTTCTCCCTTTTACTTTATTTGACTTATATGTATATAATGCTTTTTTCACATGAAGGAAGCAGAAGCCATTTATATTCATAATTATTCCATCTTTTCAAGAGCAAGGCATAAAAGTATATTCAATGTGTTCTGTATGGCGATTTAGATTAGAGAACTGAATTACAGTTACTAACATTTTCAATAAAGTTTGAAAATGGTGCAATTGTGCAAACATATCAGAGCCTCTTTATCACTTCTGTCAGGGCAGAGCGCTGAAGCCTATATTGGCTTTAGAAGAACTGGTTGAGATTTCTGAGTGCTAGTGGTAAACTGATAGTTTAGTTGGGACCCCTTTATTGGTCACCCTGTGGCACATTTGAAACTCTCAACAGCTGTGCCCATTGACTAACAGCACCCTCTTCTCTGACATCATTTGGACCATTGAGAGCCCTGAGACAAAAAGCAATAGAGGGCAGTGTTCTTTTGCTATAGGGAGATTACATAAAATATAGTACATTTATTATTTTGTGGCTTATTTGAATACACATTTCTACCCACATTCACCTGATTTTGGATGGGAGCTTCAATAGGCATACTCCAGAGGGTAACTGATTGTTACTGTAATCACTACTGACAACACTGTTAGTTTAAGGTCCTGTCTTCTTTCGAAACTGGAATCATCTCCCTCTTCTCTTAACTCCAGGCTCATCCTTAATCCACCGTTCACATGGCTACCAGAATTCTCTATTTTAAATAGGAATCTGATAATATCACCCTATATTTAAAGATAGTTGCCATCTCTTACTGCACGCAGGAGATGATGATTAAGAGCACAAGCTTTGGTGCAAGGGAAGTTTGCCTGGACAACCCTTGGACAGTTATTCTATCTGAACCTCAGTTTCCTTCTCTGAAAATGGGGTTTTCAGAAGGTGACAGTAACCTGCCACACAGGGCTACTATTATGATTGGAAATAACACGTGAAATGTTTAGTGAAGCCCTTGGCACAACGCAGATTTTCAAGAAATGCTAACTCTTAACTATTATTTTTTAATAAGTATGATTGAGGTAAAGTCAGTTTTCCTTCCAGAAAAAGGAAAAGCATGAGGAGAGACAATTCATGTAATTTTGTCTCTTCCTCCAATCCATCAAAACTTATTGTAATCCAATTATAAAGCAACAGTAATTCACTACTCCATTTTTTTTTCATGGTGCCAGGTTATTTTATATTCTAGAGATCATGACGATTAGAAGAATATTCCATTTTTAGAATCTGTTTTTAGGGGGTTGACAGAAATGCCAACATAACATGGCCAAAAAGAAATAGATAAACAATCAGATCAAAGAGACTCAACCAGAAGAAAATCATATTCAGAGCAAGAAAGAAAAAAATGTTCAGAGGAAAATTAAAGAGGCTGACAACAAATTAAATATAGTCGGCAAGAACATTTTTTATCTGATGCAAGATGCTTTGTGGGTTCATATTCATTTTTGAAACATGCATTCATGTGAATATCTTTGCATTTGCTGGCCCTCTGCCTGGGATGCACCCCAGCATCTACCTGCATTGCTGTTTCCCTTTATGCACATCTTTGCTCATTCCCCATCAGCTAACAGTGCCTTCCCTGATCACCCCATCCTAAGGAGTTGCCCCCTTTTACACCTGTCCCTCTTCATTGCTTTACTCTACACGATTTTCCTACTTAGCACTTTTCACTACTATGAAATACTTGTGTATCATCTGTCTCCATCATGAAAATGAACACTGTCCAAGGACAGGGGCTCTGTGCTATTCGGTTATATCTCTGTTTCCTAGAGTAGACCCTGGTCCCATACTGGGTACTCAGTAAATACTTACAGACGAGGCCGGGTGTGGTGGCTCACGCCTGTAGTCCCAGCACTTTGGGAGGCCAAGGCAGGCGGATCACCTGAGGTCGGGAGTTCCAGACCAGTCTGGCCAACATGGAGAAACCCTGTCTCTACTAAAAACACGAAATTAGTCGGGCATGTTGGTGCATGCCTGTAATCCCAGCTACTGGGGAGGCTGAGGAAGAAGAATCGCTTGAACCTGGGAGGTGGAGGTTGCAGTGAGCCAAGATTGCACCATTGCACTCCAGCCTGGGCGACAAGAGTGAAACTCCGTCTTAAAACAAACAAACAAACAAACAAAAAACAAAACAAAAAACAGTAACAAAAACAAACAAACAAAACTTAACAGATGAGTAAATGGATATTAGACTTAAATCCCCAAGGATAAATATTTTAAAGACATTCTCCTACTTTGTTAATTGTCAAAGAAATTGATTTTTTATGCATTGGGACTTCTTCCTAAACGGGTCCTTGGTAAGGAAAAGCTGCTTGGACACCCATTTTGTCTGCAGATAATGTGCTTAATGAAGTTATTGGCATATAGTAAGTGTTTAATAAGTACTAATTATTGTTATTATAAGTATGATAAATTAAAAGTGGAAATTCTACTCAAGAATAGAATAAGGCCTGCATTATAATAGCATGAATATACTGCTCACGAAGGTGTTTCTGGACATCAGCCTTCTGTTAGACTTGAATGACCAAACTCAAATTGTTAGTAGGTGTAAAACAGGAGTGGAGGCTGGGGGAGGGGATGATTAGTTGAAGCCTGTTGCTAATCAATGAGTATAAAGTTTCAGTTATGCAAGATGAATACCTTCTGGAGATCTGCTGAACATTGTGACTGAAGATTATAATGTTGTATTGTGCATTTAAAAATCTGTTAAGAGGGTAGATCTTGTCACATGTTCTTATCACAATAAAAATGTTAAAAAAGCTGCATTGAGTTATACCAGCAAAGCCTCATGGCCACCACTCCTGAGATACCTTCTTGCTCTGAAATTTGGTGCAGTTCCATCTGGCAGAGTTTTCAAAGCTCTTTCCTAAGTTTCTTCATCATTCACATCAGACTATTCACAGCTGCACTCAGAGAGTCGCCGAAAGAGGAATTGCGGATCAGGAGATGTGGGTTCCTGATTTAGTCTCACCACTGTATACTCCTCATTAAATACTACTTAATCTTCTGCTAACTTAATTTCCTATCTAAAAATGGGAATGATCCTAGCTGCCCTATAGTACCTGAAAGGAATGTTATGAAGAGGAAACAAATGATCTCATAAGAATATATTGACAAATATAAGCAAAAAAAAAAAAAATTCTTTAAAAAGCAACACTTAGCACAATATATTAGCCTCTTTCTTGCATCACCAAAAGAGACAAAGAAAGAAAATAAGAAAAAATCCTGCAGTCATTTTAAATGCAGTCCTAGCTATGTTAAAGACACTGAAGAACTGCATCCTATCTTCAAAATCAGCTTCACTGGCATAGTTTTCAAACTGCCATTTTATATCTGCTTTAAAAGAATAAATATGAATGACAGATTACAAAGAAGTAAAGACTAAGACCAAGAGAAAATACAAAAGAGACTCTGTAAATACACACATATCTCAATTTTGGTGTATGTTAGCTAGAAAAATAAAAAAAAATTATGTTTGTAAGATACATCATCTTTTATTTTTCCATCTCCCTTCTCTTCTTAATTTCTCTACAGATTTTATAAACTTTGCAGAGGCTTTTTTTTTCATATTCAACTCAAGGGGCTTCAAGTGGGAGCACAAACAACCCTTTGCTCAATGAAGGATAAAGTAAGTCTCTTACCACATTATTATTTTTGCAAAAAGCTATTATGTAAATACACAAGTTTATATGAGCTTAAATAGTCTGAGTCAAGGATGCACAGAAAGGGAATACATACTACTGAAGCAATGCTCACAACAGCCTGACTTTAACAGAAGATTGCATACCCTCACTTACAGGGCAAAAAAGAAACCATATGTCTGTTTTAGTGACTCCATCCTGATATGGTGCACTCATTCCTTTTATTATATTTTCAAATAAATACATATGGGACCCGTCAGATGTCAACAGTGGCTCAGAAAAGAGTATGAATTAGTCACACTGGCACACAGGGCTCAGAAACAATGAACAGTGCTTTGGAAGACCCTTGAATACAAGCCTATTTGCCTCTTAATCCAAATGAATAATTAATGATAATTATCATGCTGCAGTTATTATCTGTGATAATAATATATCCGTAAGGTGAATAAATTTAATCTGCTACTATGCAGAAATGGCAACTCATAATATTCTTAAGAAATACAGATATAATTATCAGTATTAATGGTCAAGGAAAAAAATAAATTTTTATATAAGGAATTACAGCAAAAGGTCTAAAATAAGGTGGAAATGAATCCTCCGGATGATTTTTTTTTCCCACAGCCATCACTGCTGTGGGCCTGCTGTGGTGATGTTAGGGTTCCTACTTTTGTGGGCAGGATCCATTTAAGTAAAAGCTTTACCATGCGCTATGCACTGCAATCTGCCCATAACATTTCCATTATTGCCCTTTAGAAAATGACTTCAGTTAAGTTTAAAATCCTGTAAAGGGCATGTGAAACATGTTAGGACAGGTGGGGGTGATTGGGCCACCACCTTGACAATTTAACACTTAAAGGAAAAAAAAAAAAGCAAAAAGTCAAACCAAATAAAATGTGAAAAGCTTGGTTATGTGACTGGGGGTGGCGGTGGGGTAGTGCTGATTCATGGCGGTTGTGGATGGTGGTTGTTTCTTTTAAAGTGCCCTAATGGCTTAGAGTCAACTAGCGAAATGGAATGCAATTGTGGCACATGATCTAATCCTTCCTAGCAGTTCTCATCACCATTGGAAGATAAGCTGCTTGACTCCATCTTTGTATGGCACAGAATGAGCATTCGTACGTATATATCCTTTTTTGCAAAAATCAGGTCTATTGAGGTATAATTTACGTATAGTAAAAATTATCCATTTTTGATTTATAATTTTTGAAGTCTTCAAAAAAGTGTACAGTGATGTAATCTCCACCCCAATTTAGATATAGAATATTTCCATTACGCCTAAAGGCTCTGTCATGCTTCTGTGTAATCTCTCCCTTATTCCCAGCCTCTAATAATCATTTATCTGTTTTCTGTTCCTATAATTTTGCCTTTTTCAGAGTGTCACATAAATTAAATAATATGTGGCTTTTTGTGTGTGTCTGACTCATTTTGCTTAGCATGTTGTTTTTAAGATCCATCCATGTTGTTGCATGTAACAATAGTTGGTTTTTTGTGTTTGTTTTCTGAGTAATTTCCATCATGTAATTTTTCACAATTTGTCTATCCATTTGCCTGTTCACGAACATTTTGAGTTCTTTCCAGTTTTTAACAATGATTAATAAGTCTACTATAAAAATTAGCTTACAGGTCTTTATGTGCACATATTTTTTCATTTCTCTTGGGCAAATACTTAGAAATGGGATTGATAGGTCAAATAGTCAATGCATGCTTAGCTATATAAGACTGACAAATTATTTTCCAAAGTGGCTGAAACATTCTACATTCCAGCAGCAAATGAGAGCTGCAGTTGCTTTGCAGCCTTGCCAACACTTGGTACGTCAGTTAAAAATTTTTTGCTATTCTCCTTGGTGTGTAATGGTATCTCATTGTAGCTTTAATTTGCATTTCTGTATTGACTAGTGATGGTGAACATCTTTTTCATGTGTGTATTTACCATCCGTAAATCTTCTTGGGGAAATTTTTGTTCAAATCTTTTTTTATTTAAAAAAACTAGGCAATATGTCTTATTATTAAGTTGTGAGAGTTATTTATTTGTCTCGGATTCAAGTCTTTTATCTGATACATGTTTTGCGAATGCTTGTTTTTACTCTGGGGGTTATGTCATTATTTTGTAAGCAGAATCTTTCAAAGAGCAAAAGTTTATAATTTTTTGAGCCTGTCTGACTTTAGCAAGCAAAACAAAATAGAGAAACTTTGCAGATTAAGACACCTCCCTCCTTCCTAAATAAATCTCTGATACTTACTGAGTATTTACTACGTGTAAGACTCTAGGCTAAATCTGTAAGAGCATATAAGAACACACTTAAGAAAAAATAGTAGCAATAGTAATTCAGTAGCTTGCATAATTTAGTTAAACGTCATCCTGCACTGTGTTATTCTGTCTCTACAGAAACAGCTATAGGTAAATATTTTTGCTTAGGAAAATATCTAAGATATGGGCTAGGTGTGGTGGCTCATGCCTGTAATCCCAGCACTTTGGGAGGCTGAGGTGGGAGGATCACCTGAGGTCAGGAGTTCGAGACCAGCCTGTCCAACACGGTGAAACCTCGTCTCTGCTAAAAATACAAAAATTAGCTGGGTGTAGTGGCGCATGCCTGTAATCCCAGCTACTTGGGAGGCTGAGGTAGGAGAATCACTTGAAGTGCTTGTTAGATGTTTGGGGAGGGAATAACAAGGAAACAGCAGTTCATCTCCTTGAGGTCCTTTGTCCCTGACAATGAACAAAAAAGGATTTAAAAACTTTTAAAAGGAAAGCTTCATCATGACATCCAGTTATTTCCTTTCTTTTTCCAGTTGTGTCCTGTTTGTGCCATTATGAAATTACTCCACTTTACTGGGTTAAAGAGACTCAGCAGGGGTTGGGAGAGTGAAACACATCAATGTTACCAGAACATCTTGGTTTTGACTGGTTTTCTTTACATGTTCCTGCTTCACGACAAACTTTAAGTTCTTACTGGGACTGTCAAAGTTAAAAATTCATTTTATAATTGTTGAGAATATAATCTCAATATTGTGATGCTTTTCAGTTGGAGAACTTCCAAAGCAAGATCGGGTATGTTATGTTTAAATCTCAGCTTTACAGAAAAAAAGTCACAGATAATCAAGAATGGACGCGATTAAAAAAATTAGAGAAGTAGAGACTAGGTTAGAGAAATTAACAAACTAGAGAAATTAGAGAAGCCATTTTACCCATTCCTTTCTTAGAGAGATGAAAAACTATCTAATTTTGAAAGATCTTCAAAAGTGATTCCTTAATCCAATGCATTGTTTGAATCAATTATTCAACAATATTTAAAGCCAAAAAATATTTTCTTAGGTTTAATGCTTTATACTGAAACATGGCTTCACTTCCATTCTCCAGTGGCCACTGTACTCTGTGTGGGAGCCCCTCACACACCTGAAGACAATAATTAAACCTCCCCTCAGCTTTTCCCAGCATGTTAATCATCTTGGTGCCATGTCCTGAATCTGCCCTGAGTTATTCTTTTCTCTTTTACAGAACCTAATACAGGGCATCTGGATAAAAGTCTGACTAGAACTGATTAATACGGAGAAAATAATTAATTTTGTGCACCCTAATATTCTAATAAAAATTACAGTATCATGTTATTAACTAACTGCTAGTTTATTACTTTCTGCGATTTTCTCATCATTTCTGATTTATATTTCTTTTGTGAGGATTCCTGGGTTTACCACATGAATGGACACATTAAAAAATACACATATACGGCTGGGCGTGGTGGCTCACGCCTGTAATCCCAGCACTTTGGGAGACTGAGGCTGCCAGATCACGAGGTCAGGAGATCGAGACCATCCTGGCTAACACGGTGAAACCCGGTCTCTACTAAAAATACCAAAAAATTAGCCGGGCGTGGTGGCGCCTGTAGTCCCAGCCACTCGGGAGGCTGAGGCAGGAGAATGGCGTGAACCCAGGAGCCGAGATCGCGCCACTGCACTCCAGCCTGGGCGACAGAGCAAGACTCTGTCTCAGAAAAACAAACAAACAAAAAGCAAACAAAAAACCAAGTACATTTACCTTCCTACTTATATTTCTGCACGTTGAAACTCCTTACTGGTTTATCTCCTCTTTTTTTTTTTCTTGAAATGGAGTCTCGTCCTGTCGCGGTGGCGCCATCTCAGCTCACTGCAACTTCTGCCTCCCGGGTTCAAGCGATTCTCGTGCCTCAGCCTCCTGAGTAGCTGGGATTACAGGTGCCCACCACCACGCCCGGCTAATTTTTGTAATTTTAGTAGAGACGGGGTTTCACCATTTTGGCCAGGCTGGTCTCGAACTCCTGACCTCAAGCGATCCACCCATCTCGCCTTCTAAAGTGCTGGGATTACAGGCATGAGCCACTGCGCCTGGCCTATCTACTACTCTTTACTCCATGGGGTCACCAAGAAGTGGGATCCTATCCCTTGGTGTAATGGAAGGACTTGGTGTGTTAGCAGAATTTTTATTTTTTGTTGTGTAACCTTTCTATTACTCAAAAACACAACATGGGATGTGAAAAACTAAAAAGCCCGAAGAGTTCCAGACACCAACGAGAGGCATTGACAGTGGTGAGCTGGCACTAGCATGGCAGATAATGGCCTTACGTCAGAAGTCCAGACTGTCGATGGATAGTCTGCAAGTGTAAAGAGAATCAGGGCCTCCTACTCCTACTGTGATGGAAGAATCTGGGATTCTGAATGCGCATGACAGAGATTTGAGGGAGAAACTCACTAGGTCCCAGTGTTTTATTCACTGGCTCCATCACTGCTTTATTCTCTTGAATGCTTCCTAAATTATAATTTATTTCATTACAAATAAATTATAACTTACGTTCCAGACACAGGTCTGTATAGAATATATTCACCAGGTAAATGTCTACATAATATTAAGACTAATTAATATCAATGATATTTCCTTAATTTATCTGGAAAAATATATTCTGCCTCTTAAATATAAATGCTCTGTCAGTCTGGGGAGAGGAGTTTTATTTTTTGAAAGTTTGCAAAAAAGTTTTGTGTGGAATTAAAGTAAAAATTATGTCATATTAAGGCGTTTTTATAAACTATTCTCTTTATAACCAGACACTAAATGTGCTTCCTGACATATGCAGAGATGATACTATTGTGATAATGATAATCCAGGGTTTTATGCTTTGAGGCAATGAACTTACCTTATGTTTTCTTATTGTAACGAAATAAACCTCCAAAATGTCTGGCCAAAATTAGTGGATCAGTTATAGTTGTGAAACAACTAAATGTATGTGAATAAAATTGAAAAGTTTCTAGAATTTTTTTCTAGATGTTAAAGGGAGACTTTCCTATTTGCATTTCTTTTGTGAGGACCCCTCAGTTTGTCATCTGAGTGGGCACATTTAAAAATACACACACATCCTCCACATTTACAATGATATTACTGCCATCTATATTGGTAATGAGAACTGGTCTAATGTACAGCACTGCATCATGTATTCAAAAGACCACGCCATGTTATTGTGTGTAATGGCCTGGAGCAAGATGACCTAGTTTTGACCTTCACCATAGTTGTCTTGAGTTAAAACTGTGTGATAAGTGAATTTGTATTTGGCTCATTCCATCTTTTTTCTTACCTCCCTTCCTTTCATTTGCCCAGACTGTGTGGTCCTCAGTTACTTAGCATTCTCCAGCTGTCTGCTGGCTGCTTAGAATCTTCCACTAAAGCATCACCACTTGGGCCTTCCTAGACTCCAGCTCTTTCCCTCTGCTCTTTCCAAATAGATCTGCTTTGTGTTCCATACCTAGTATTCATAGATGATGGAACCTAAGATGATTTATTTTTTTAAATGTGAGCCATGAAATTCCTCACCTATAATGATTAGCATTGTGAGAGTTTCAGAGACTCTTGAAGAGTAGAAGGGTGAGATATTTTCAGGTTAGAGAGTAATCTGGATTTATGTCCATCATGTCTGCAAATCCAAGTACTTTCTTAACACATTTGGCTAACTCAGAAGTATGACTGGGAGTAAAGCAGGAAGAGCGGTTGATTCCCTGGAGCACATGGCATGCCTTCCCTCAAGATGGCACTTTTCAAAAAACATTTTCAATGTCATGGCTCACATTAAAAAAATTATTTATGGCATGGTGATTTTAAAAACCATGATAAAAAGATGGCTTTAGAGTAAGCAGAGTGACAGAGAAATGAAGGCAACAGCTTGGAGAGGGCTAATGTTCTTTCTTCCTCACCGATCAGTCAGGTGGGCTCACCTGCCAACCTGGCCCCATCCTGAAGGTGGCTACCCCGATGTTAGAACCTGGAATTGGCTCTGGACCAACTGTGAGCTCCTCCAACTGACCAGAGCCTAAGCTGTTTTGGGAACTCCTTGGAATTTCTACAACATTCGCTTCCAGCATTTGTCATCTTCAGGGGAAAATTCACCGACTAGGAAAGCTTACCCTTTAATACACACATGTTAGCAGAGTTTGATCTCTACTGACAGAGCAAAGAGAATTTCAGGCATTATGATGTTGCTGAGGAACTATGAGTTTTGAAAAGCAGGCAGTGTTCCTGAATAATTCTGGATCTGGATACTCATCTAACAAATTTTAATGGCACACCTGTTGAGTTAATGTATTGAAGATAGAGGAAAGCAAAAAGGGCATGGGGATTTAAGAATCTTACACTCTAGTGGCATGAAAGCCTGCTATAAAATTGAAATCACTGTATAAATTAGTTACTGGTTATAAATTGCTACAAACACTTCAATAAATATTTAACAAATATCTTTGTATTCTCAGCATTGTGCTTGGTTCTGGGAACACTTAAGAATATTAAGGTATGTAAAATAAAATTTCTTTCCCTGAAGAGTTTACAATTTTGGATAGACAATTATCTAAACAAATAGCCAAAATGTCTAGAATTAAGCTCTTTAAGAGAGGTAGATACAAAGGACTTCAGGAGCACTAAGAAGGGTACCACTAACTACTTGAGAAGGTCTAGGGAGGCCTCTACTAAGGAGATGGTGTTTGATTTAGATTTGAAGGATGAGAAGGAATCGATATGGTAGAAGACAGTCTGGGTAGATGGAAGAAGGGAAATCCAAGGTGTGTGTGTGTGGGGCACATTTCCAAGGTCTATATGGTAGAAGACAGTCTGGGTAGATGGAAGAAGGGAAATCCAAGGTGTGTGTGTGTGTGTGTGGACATTTCCAAGGTCTGGAGTGCTGTGCATTCATTCATCTGCACAGGCATGAGAAGAGTTTTGCACATGAGACTCATACAACTCCATAACTCCTCTGAAACTAACACGATGGGCCAGTTTTCTTCCTTCATACCTGGGTTTATTCTGATATAATATCTTGGCCTTCACCAGTAGCTTACTTATTAGTACATTAACAATATGTTTGTATTTGCATAAATATCTCTTGCAAAATGTGTTAACAGCTCAAGTGTAATACAGCAATAGTGTGTAATGTGGCACATATACACCATGGAATACTATGCAGCCATAAAAAGTGATGAGTTCATGTCCTTTGTAGGGACATGGATGAAGCTGGAAACCATCATTCTCAGCAAACTATCGCAAGGACAAAAAACCAAACACCGCATATTCTCACTCACAGGTGGGAATTGAACAATGAGAATACATGGACACAGGAAGGGGAACATCACACACCGGGGCCTGTTGTGGGGTGGGAGGAAGGGGGAGGGATAACATTAGGAGATATACCTAATGTTAAATGACGAGTTAATGGGTGCAGCACACCAACATGGCACATGTATACATATGTAACTAACCTGCACGTTGTGCACATGTACCCTAAAACAAAGTATAATTTAAAAAAACCATACAATATATAAAATAGAAAACATTTATATCAATGTAATATAAAATTATCTCTTTAAAAGACAGATGTTATCACTTAGTCAAGTTTTCAAAATGCCTTAGGTATGTAAGAACTCATATGCCCTTAGGTATGGCACTTTTGTCTCTATATTATCTTTTTAAAACATAGCTCCTGAAATTGTCGGCTATATTTCCTTTTCTATGCTATTATTTCTTGGAGGTCTGGATATAGAAATCCAAGGGCACTTTTGGCTCAGAGAATTGGACAGGAATCTCATGCATTGGTGCATTGACATTTCACCCAGCAAATTATGATGGGTTGGTAAATGTGAATTCAAGTTTAAGCAGAGAAATGTCTGCAGAGATTTGCAATCTATTTTGATGGCCCCAAATGTCACATTTTCTTTCCTTTAGAAAAGAATAGTTCTGTCCTTCAACACCTTTAAAATTCAGATATTTAACATTCCATGATCCTTTGAGTTTGTAGTTGGTGAAACTGGAGTTTTCCATTTCTTCTCTTACGCTATAGTCTTCACCCTTCATTTCATCAAACTCATAATATATGAGTCTTTGTCATTAATATTCTCTTTTCATAACCCTCTTCCACCTCTTCATTATGATCCAATCATTTGAGGACTTCTCTACCTACAATTTGCCCCAAAAGATCCTCTCATTTCTCTTTGTCCATATTTTTCCATTTATTTCCCTTTCTTTCTCATGGCTTTATAGACCCTGAACTCCTCTGCTTTCTCATCATCCACTAATTAGCATGTCTCCATGGTAACAGACAGTTGCAGAGCGGGAATCATTCTCTCTATCGGCTACTGCTGAGCAACCTCTGGGCCTAGCAAGGAGGGGCCTTGACCCGATTAAGATAGGAAGACTTTTCTCTTCTTGGCAGGAGAGGATCCATACATTTCAGAGAAGGCCCTGTTTCCTCGGGGAAAGAATAAGTCAATTTGGTTGAAAAGGAGTGTATACTTAATCTCAGGCATATGAAATCAAAGTATGAAATAAACGAAGAAAATATCCAACAAGATCTAGGAAAAATATCTAATGTTGGATCTCTGCTTCTGGTTTGTAAAGATTAGCAGTGCTTTGATCTGGAAGATGCTATGAAGCAACTAGTAGCAAATATTTGGTAACTTTTACCTTCTAATTTTACATATACAATTCCATAACTGTGCCTTATGGGGCTGAATCTATGACAGAGAACAACCCTACTCCTAGTTTTATGAGGTTTATTCATATATTATAATTTTTTAATTTTATGGTTCCTATTTTCAGCTAGATTTCAACCCATAATCATATGCTTTCTAAACAGATATTATTGCATTAACTATTATTGGAGTTTCTGGTTGCAGTTCTTTATTGATAAGTTGCATAACATTATGCAGTTCATATCAGAACACATTTCCTGTATATTTTCCTATAGTTCAGAAGCTAGAAAAGATATTATTAGTTATAATTTATTAAGTGCCTGTTATGTATTAGGCATTATACTAGGTGTTTTGTGTTTAATGTCTCTGAACCTCATGCCAACTTTTCAACCTAAGATACCACTAGTCCAATTTTGTAATATGAAGAGACTGAGATTCACAGAGGTTAGGTAGTTTCCAAATAAAAAGCTAGTAAAAACCTACTGCTGGAATCCTGGATACCTGAAACCAAGTCTGTATACGTATGCATTACCTATACATTCTCATATAAAGATCTTTGTGTGATAATTAGAAAGCTATATAGATTTGAAACTGTAGACTTCTGCTTTCATCCAAGGGAGACTGAAGTTTGAGGTCTTCTCAGTTGGAAGCTGTAGCCCCTTAGGAAATGATAACCTGAAATAGCAGGTGATTTTCTTGGATGTCAAGAAATGAAATGTTTTAGCAACGTATGAAACCCACAAGAGTAGGAGTGTGATGCCTGAAAGCATAGATTATGATGTAAGCTTGTGTAAATTGGATGGAAAAATTTTACCCCCAGACATGTAAACCAGGGATGCCACTGCTATCCTGGGAACTCTGCCATTGATAGCAAGCGGGGATGGACGACTCGCGTCTTCTGGAAGAGTGCAAGACTTTCATCCTCTTCTTCCTTCAAAGTTTATGATGAAAAACATTCTTTTTCCAAATATGAATGAGATGTCACCAATTTGTATACTGCATTTCATAAACTGAAGATCAACTTACATCTCAAAGTTGATTTAAATCATGAAGACTTTTAACAAAATGACATCAGGCCGGATGTAGTGGTGTGTACCTGTAATCCTGGCTTACTTGGGAGGCTGAGGTGTGAGGATAATTTGAGCCCAGGAGTTCAAGATCAGCCTGAGCAACATAGAGAGACCCAGTCTCAAAAAAACAAAAACAAAAACACCACCAGAACAACTCCATCTAAGGGAGAAAGTACATGTATTGAATGACTTCTATATGCCAATTACTGGTGCCAAGTGCTTTTCATATGTTATCTGTTATGAGACCATGTCTCTCAAATCTCTTTCAGCAGGGAGCATAATTGTCTGGCCCCAGCTGTTGTGTTCTGAAATCCATCACCAAGTTTGTATGGAGGCCAAGCTTCCCACGGCTGCTCCCAGCCGATGATTGAGTGTGGCAGGGATGCTAAGGCTGATCTGTTTCTGGGAAATGGAGAATTCGCTGACAAGTGACTTAAGCTTGACAAGTACTTCCCATTGGCCTTGCTGAACTTTCTTAGAACCCCAGTCAGGAGGCTCTCGCCCAAGCCTTCCCTCTCGCCTTCACAGGGGCCAGACTGCATTGTGGTCTATCTCTCAGCCTACTCCGCTTCCTTCCCGTTTTATCTCTCAGATGTTTCCCTGAATGAACTCTCTTAATGCCTGCTTCTTGGAGGAGTTAAATCAACACATTATCTAATTTAACCTTCCCAATCTCGTGAGCTTTTTATGGTGATAAGAAATTGAGCCTCAGGGCATTTGCAATACTTGCTCAGGTCACCCAGCTAACTAGTGACAGGCTTTAAACCCAGCTCTGTCTGCTCTCATGGTCCTTTGACAGTTCCCATTGCACCATGCTGCCTAGGATGCCTTCTTGTACTCACCACTATTTTTTTAGCTACTTTATCTGATGACAAATTGCTTAGTAAAAAAGGGAATAGGTAAAATTTTTTCTCAAGCTCCCTGAAAAAAAGAAAAAACCTGGAAGGAAACAAGTTAATATAAAATGTTCAGCCTTTTCCTAGAATAACTTAACAGTTTGAGCTTTCTTATCTGTGTCTGTGACAGGGAGCTGTCTGGCTACATGAATATGTTGTTTTTCTTTCTTTCTTTCTTTCTTTTTTTTTCTAACACCGCTTCTTAGGTAAATCAGAGCTGCAAGTGCTGTATCTATTTTTCAGAGATAGCATGTGAATTTGTGACATTCCCTGGGGAGTTTGAGGTCTAGAAACCAATGAAGAGATCACAATGAAACAGGAGCGTTATGTTTTCAAGTTCGAGGGTGATTATTATCTGAAAGTCTTAGCGTTGCTTAAAAGGCAGTTCTTCTCATTTGGATCAGGGAGCAGTGTGAATTTTCCGAAGGCGAGAAGGCCTTCCTAGCATGAATAAAAGCTGAGTACAGAGTGGGGCTGCAGGCTGCTTGTGTTACTGTGAAGGCTGCCAGTGAAAGCCAGGGTAGCTGGCTCCAGGGATGCTCCAGGAACTGGAACCAATTCCTAATGAATCAAGAACCCAGTAGGGGAGTGAAGAAAACAAAGGGAGACTTTTACTTTTTTTTCAGCCCTCCCTCTTTTCCGGGGGCGGGCGGGGGGGTAAGAAAAAAGAAAAGAAGAGAAAAAAAGTACAAATTACTGCAGTTCTCTCCAAAACCTGGTGAGGGTTCAAGAGGACAGGGAGCCTGAGGACCTCCACCTGAGGAGCTTCTTGAAGATGCTGTATCTAAGATCTTTAGTGCCAGGAGAACATTGACATTTTCACCTTTTACTTTGCAGGGCATCTTTTCCTGTGATTCAGGAAACTTTATCCTTCTCAGAGTTGTGCCTCTGGTGTTATGAGAGCTACAAGACCCCTGCTGCCAAGCCAGTCTCTGTTTCTCTGTTCTAAGCCCCAAATAAGGGCAGACCCCCTTGATACTTGTGTGATTTATTTCTCTGGGATGTGCCTTCCACAGACGCATTAGCTCATTGATGAAGGCTACCACTGTTGGTCTTAATCTGCTTCAATATTCCCTTTAACTTGATAGTGTCTTGCCTACTTCTCCAGCTTCATCTCTTATGCCTTCTTCACATCACACATTTGTGAAAATATAGTGCTTTCCATTCTAGAACCTTCCATGTTCCCTTATGTCACATGCCTTTGCTCATGCTGTGTCTTTTGCCAGCAGTGTCCTCCTGCCCGTCATCATTGCCTACACTCTTTTCCCATTTGGTGCATGTCTGATTCCATTAAGACTGAGTTCAAATGTAACCTCCTCAGTGCCAGCTTCCCTGACCTCCCCAGACTCAATTAATAACTTTGTTCTTTGCATATTTCAGTAATTTTGTTGAGTTGAAATTAATTTGCTTTTCTATGAAGTACAGATTCAAATTCAGTACTTTGTTTTCTCACTTACTACTAAGTGCCTGGCATAGAAATGGTCATTTTTATATGTAGCGTTTCTTAAATTTTTATTTGAAAAAAAAAAAAAAAACTAGAGACAATGATTCCTTTGGATGGAAATGAACTATTAATATTACTGCATTCTGAAATTACTATGGACTCGTCAGAAGAAGGTATGACTGGAGAGATGAAGGACAATTTTAGTCACTGGTAATGATCAAAACAAAACAAAACAACAACAAAAATCCTTGTTATGTAAAATCTCTGATTTTCTCAATACCCTTTGGAAGATGTTCTGGAAAATTGTGAGCCTCACTTCCAGAGAGCCTCTGCAACTCCAAGACACATGTAAATAATCTTCCTCGTAGGTCTCTTTGGAAGCTGCATTATACTATCACAGTTGTGTGAGCTCTGGGGGCTTCCAGTGTCAACGCACAGACCCTGCCTGGTCCCTGTCTAGATGGCCACCTGAGCTATGAACCCCTCAAACTCAGTCACTCCTTCCTGTACAGTCTAGGTAACAGCCAGTATACCAGCATAACACAAGAAGTACCACTATTTAATGCCTATTGGAATTTTGATCCACTTCTTAACACTCTACTCCAAGCTGTAAGGAGTGGATAGTCAGCTCCAGAAAGCAATCATCAATCTGAAAAATAGCTTTTATTTTTCACTAATAGAACCATCAAAAAATATCTTTTGGAAATGACAACTCTGCTTTGAATTGACGACATAGACCAGGGGCTGGTCAACCACAGCTTCTCTATCACATCCATCCTGCTGCTTGTTTTCCTAAATAGTTGAAACACGCTCATGTCATTTATTTACATATTGTCCAAGTCTGCTTTCACATCTTAATGGCAGAATGAAGTAGTTGCAAAAGAAACTGTGTGGCCCATGAAGGCTAAAATATTTGCTATTTGGTCCTTCACGGAAAGTTTGCCAACTCCTGACGGCAATCCAGAGTTCTGCCAGAAACCATAAATGCAAACTCTCCAATATCCATTTATTGCTCAAAGTCTGATTCTGATAATATATTTCTCTCAGAATGCAGCATCAGGAAAGCCACTGGTGAGTTTGTAATCTTAGGAGCACTGTGAATCACATAATGGATTGTGTTTCCTCTTTAGCTTTGGCTATCAGAATATGCTGAGCCAAAGATTGTCATCCTCTGTAGAGAGGTAGATGGTACTTATCTCTACCCACTTTTAGATTTTCCTACTTTTAAATCCTCTTCACTCTGATTTCCTATTAACTTTTGTCAGATGACCTTGCATGTACATATCTTTTGAGAAAAAATTAGATATAAATACATATGTCAGTAGGGCATACCTTCTGCACTTTCACATTTGATTGTCTAGAATTAGCTGCTTGAATGTCTGCTTCTATCTCCTAGTTTAAACACCCTTTGGGGGATTTTTTTTTTGTTTGCTTATTTACTTTGTTTTTGTCTTTTTTGTTTTGTTTGTTTGTTTTGGTAGTGGATTACTTTTAGAAAGTATTTATTTCAGAGACCAGCACATTTTCAACTTAAATGAATTGTCAGTTGTAGTATAAATAATAGTGTCTTCAAGGTGCCTGAACTTGACTCCTTGGTTAAAATAAATTACTTAGTTTTCATGCTTTTATTAATAAAATAATAATTACTATTTAATAATAAAATAATAATTGTTACTATTTAATAAGTGCCTAGTATTTTCTGGGTGCTTATGTACATTGTTGAATTTTTTCCTTGTAGCAGGCATGGTGGGTCTTAATATTTCTACTTAATAAGATAGTAACAATAAGCCTCAAAGAGACGACATACCTTCCTTGGAGGGAGTGTACAGTGTTACAGCCACTGTAACACTGCAGGAGTCAAGTGATATCCATGAATGAAGCAGGTGGGTATAATACAATCTGGAGCCATGGGGACCTATGAGTTCATGCTTTGTCTGAAGGGACAGCTGCTATCCAGGTGGCCAACCACTGTCATATTCAAGTATCAGCTTGCTATTGCTTGGGTTCCCAACTTATCAGAAACCAGAAATCCAGACATTAGGTGAAATATTTTAATTTTAAAAACACTGTTTCAAAATAATGAAACATGTTGTGGATTAGGTTTGGCACCCAGGCTACCAGTCTTTAAACTTGGTGATGACCACAGGCCATTGGGCCTGATAAGTTGGGCCTGAATCCTAACTTTACCACATTTTGTGTTACCTTGAGCAACTTAACCTCTCTAAGCTTCAGTTTCATCAACTAACAATGAGGCTAATAGTAGTATGAACTTATTGAGATTTGGTAAAATGTTTAACCTATGCCTGTCACATAAAACATACTCATTAAATGGCTAACCATTATGTTATGGCTAAGTAATTTCTTACTTGGAAGTTATAATCAGGCCTTTATGACCTCAAAACCACATCCTTTTCTCCCAGTATAATCCTGTCTCTCATAATTCAGTGTTTCATTTTTTTTATTCCTAACTCTAGTTTGCTAGTTGTTTATCATAATAGAAGCAGACCAACAATTTTATGAGCCATATAAACATTTGTACTAAAAAGTATAATTGATTGAATAAATTATTCCTTTCAATTTTGTTCAAAAAGTCATTTTTAAAGTTCTTGCGATTTCCTCTAAATTAAAAAAGTTAAATTTCTCTTTATAAATGCATATACAGCTCCCATTGATTTCAGTGGGAGTCAAGAATCCAAGGATAGAATCTAACCTGAAGAATTTTAATTTCCTGTTTGTTTACAGCAGGAGATAACAAAAATGGTATGTTTGCTTAGAGTGTATCAACATTAAGTATTCTAGCTAGCTGGGTCAAGTACAGTATTATGACTGAAGTTGACAGCAAAGGGTTTCTTCATTTCATGAGTAGACCTGAAGTTGCATTCTTACAAATGAGCAAACATAGCTGTAGGTATCAAAGATAACAAGCAATATTGAGTAGGAGAAAGGATTTCACTGGGGTGAGAAGGGGAAACAAATATGCATTACAGTTGTTAAGTAGATTTTTTCCTGTGTCTTTTCTTCTGACTGATATTTTTATTAAGGGAAATGATTAACATAGTAAAGAAATATTTTCTCTAATAAGAATTTTTTTATAGGGAACTTTATTCACACTACCTGGAGGGTTATTCTGTCCTGACACAGTTGAGTAAAACAGTATCATTTCAAAGTACAGTGGCAGGATAGAGCAATGAACAAAGAACTCATTTTGGGAACGAAGGACCATAGGTTCTAGTCTCAGTTTGGCACACAAATAATTGTGATTTTGGGCAAATCACTCTCTGTTGATTGGAGATAATAAACCCATTCTATCAATAGTGAGAATATCTGTGGAAGATTTTTGTTTTTAAATAAAAGTACAGTATTGTTGCTATAGTTATTTTTATGTGATGATGGTGATGGTATAGAGCAGATATGAAATTGTAAGCACTAATCTACTAAGGAATTAAATAGTTTCAATTTCTTCAACAACAGAGGAGACATACACTGTCAATTACGTACATTTTGATTTTGACCTCCCAGAAATAAATAAGTTAAGGCCATTCATCTTTTTTTTCACTGAGAAGTAAGAGGCATTTTGTGGACAATAAAAAGAGTAAAAATGAACGGCTTGTGGATAGAACAAGAAATAAGGAATAAGTAACATGAGTAATGTAAAGTGGAGATAACTGAGTGTAAGTAAAAGCAATGCTAAGCAGCCTGAAGCCCCTAGTGGTGTATAATTTTGATAGCTCAGTTAGCTGATTTCTCTCTTTCTCTTTCTTTCTTTCCTCCTCCTCCCTTCCTTCCTTCCTTCCTTCTTTCATTATTTTTTTTCACAGTACTTAGCAGTCTGGACACAGGAGCAGAAAGACAAATTCTATGTATTCATATGGCACTGGTGACTATTTGGGAGGGGATTCAGGAACATGACAAGAGGGCAAACATATTAATGAATTTGGAAATAGAATTCTTTACTTGGCAGACAATGTGTTTCAAAAACAGTGGAAAAGGAAGTGAGAAATGAAATCTAAAGAGAGTAGTCATTGTGGTAAAGGGAAATGTACATTAGTCTTTGATGTCTGGAGATGTCTTTATTGTGCTCAATATGATGATTTAGCTGGGTATAAAACTTTGGGTTGACTTATTTTCTTCCAGAAATTTGAGAAATGCCATTGTATTCTGACATATACTGTTGCTGAAGGGAAATCTACTGTAATTGTTGCTCTTTTGTTGGTATTTTCTCTCCAGCAGCTTTTAAGGTCTTATTCTTATCCTTGATATTCTGCAGGTTTCAAATCATATGCTTCAATGTATCATATTTTCATTTATTGTGGGACTCAGGTATTCCTTCAACTTTGGAAAATTCTTGACTATATGTCTTTAAATATTATTTTTCTATAATTGAAAAAATGGAATGCCTGTTTCACAAATGTTGCATATCTTCTATGACTTTTTGAAGTCTTTTCTTTTGTCTATCGATGATGAATTAAAAATAATTTTCACAGTATTATCTTTCAGTGTTTAGATCTTATCCTTTGTGTTTAAAACAAACTTCAATAACATTTAAAAAAATTCTAAGATATCTAGCAAGTTATTTTTATATCAACTTGTTTCTCATTTCTGCCTGATTTTATTTTATATTTCTTTTCCATTTCTAATATTTTTAAAAGTTTATAATTCACAAATATATAACTTAGTTATCCCAATGCAAACACCTCTGTAACTCTGACGTAAGTCAAGAAATAAAACATTGCTGGCATCCCAGAGTCTTTTTTTTAGGCCTCTTTCTAATCACCACCCTGTCTTTTCCACACAAAAAAAACCACTATCATAAATTCTGACATCATCATGTAGATTTACCTGTTTCTGAAGTTTGTATAAGTGAAATCATAGAGTATATATTTTTGGTATCCAGTTTCTTTCACTAAAATTTATGCTTGTGATATTCTTCTATCTTGTTGCTGAAGGCTATAATCCATTAATTTTCATTGTTATTTAGTATTCAACTGTATTGATATACTGCAATTTAATTATCCATTCTAATGTTAATAGACATTCTGATTTTTCCTAGTCAGGATTTATTATGAATAATGCTACTATAATCATTCTTGTACATGTCTCTTGGTGCACATGGCATACATTTATGTTAGGTAAGTATGTAGAAGTGCTAGCTCAAATAATATGCATGTCTTCAGCTGTAGTAGATAATGCCAATTGTTTACCGAAGTTAATTTACCAATTTACATTCCTATGAGCAGTATATGAGAATGCTTATTGCTTCACATGCTTGTTAGCACTTGATATTATTAGTTGATTTTTAGTTTTAACCATTCTGTTAGCTGTGCTGTGATACCTCGTTGTGAGGTTGACACCTTTACATATATTTATCCTTTCTTTGGATAGCATCGGTTATGAATGCCTGTTTAAGTGTCCTACTCCTTTTTTCATTAGATTTTCTGTTTTTTCTACTTGGTTTTTGTTAGTTCTTTATGCATTTTGGATGTGAGCTCTTTGTTGACTCAATTGCTGAAAATGTCTTCTGCCATGTGCTAAAGCGAACTAAATATGGCCTGAGAAGGACTGCATACTTCTATATTTGAGTCTTTGTGGACAAACTGCAACCTAACTTAACAGGTAGAGAAGACTGAAAACCTAATTTAGGAGTATGTGCCTGTAACAACAGCTGAGTCTTGGCCAATCCCAGCAGCCGTACTTCAACCACTCGTACACTGCTGAGTGTTCAAACTGTGTTCAAATAAGGCAAACGCTGAGCTGTAACCAATCCAGTTGTTTCTGTACCTCACTTCTGATGTCTGTACCCACTTCCCTTTTTTTGTCTATAAATCTTCTTCCACCGCACTGGAGTCTCTCTGAATCTGCTGTGATTCTGGGGGCTGCCCGATTCACGAATTGTTCATTTAGAATCAATTATACACCTTTAAACTTAATTAGGCCGAATATTTTATTTTAACACATGTCATAGCTTGCCTTTTCATACTGCTGATAGTTTCTTTTATTTCTGATCATCAGAAATTCTTAATTTAATATAACACAATTCATCATTGTTTTCGTTAATGACCTGCTTAAAATCATTTTCCTTTTCCAAGGTCATAGAGATACTATTCTGCATTATTTTCCATTATTATTATTTGCCGTTCACGTACATATCTACAAACTACTCAGAATAGATTTTTTTCCCACGGTAAAATGTAGAGAGCATTTTTCCCTTTGTGAATATTCAGTTAGCCTAACACCATTTATTGAAAAGGCTACCCTTTTTCCACCTTTATTATAAATCAATGTCTACATAAATAAGTATCTGTTTCTGTGTTCTCTATTTTCTTCCATTGATCTATTTGTCTATTGTGTACCATCAACACACCATTTTAATGTTAGAGCTTTATAATCACTAACATAAGTAGATAGAGCTTTATAATAATCGCTAATATAAGTAGAGCAAGCTGTCTTACCTTTTTCCTCTTTAAGGTTATCTTGATCATTCTTGACCTTTTGCATATCCAAATATACATTTAATATTACTTTTAGAATCAGTTTGTCAAGTTACACACACACACACAATATTTAAATTACATTGGATCTATAGATAAATTTGGGAGAACTGGCATCTTTACAATATCAACTCTTTACTCCATCAGCATGGATTATCCTGTAAGCATTTAGATTTGTTTTTATTTCTGTTAATATTATTTTATAGTCTTATGCTTAGATATTTTGTATTCACTTATGTTTATTTCTAGGTATTTGATATATTTTGCTCTTATTGTAAATGCTATCTTTTAAATTTTCATTTTTGGTGTCTCTAGTATACGCAAATTTAATTGACTATGGTGGAACAGACTTTATTCATGAACTTTGCAAAATTCATTTTTTTCTCCAAAATTTTATTCTGGAAATTTTCAAACATATAGAAAATAGACTTGTGTAACAAACTTTTATGTGCCCATTATCCATCTTTAACCATTACAGTAAGTTTTTGAATTTCCTTAACTCATATTTAATTCTAATACCTTTTTTATATTCTTTTGTATTTTCTATGTACACAAGCATACTATTTGTAAATAATGGCAGTCTGATTTCCTTCTTCTGAGGTTATTTATTCATTTATTTGCTATTCATGCTGCTGAGGATATTCAGAACAATGTTGAAAAACATTATAATAACATTCTTACTATGTTTGTGAGCCTGACCATTCCTTTTTGTTTTCATCAAATGACACTTACAGAAGATCAATTCTTATGTATTTGTCATAAAAATCAATGTCTTAACTAAGTTAAAGCACGTTTATGCTGAAATATTTGTATAATCCGAGCAATGCTAGCCATAAGTATAATAAATTCAGAACAAGTTTTTTTTTAAAAGGCACTACAAACATGTCAGTAGGTAGTCTGTGTTTATATGTGGTACTTACACATTTAAACTTAATTCTCAGCATTTACTGTACAGTTACTGCTGTAACTTAAAGTCTCACCAAGGGATAAGGTATAACAAATTGATAACAAATTGGCATATTTGTTAATTTTTTAGTTTGTGAAAATATCTTGAACTGATTTATTTATACAGGGACCAAATTTCAACTCTGACAGTAATCAGCTTTTCAATGAACTTCATAGTTTGCAACTGCATAGAGGCAACAGAAAATATGAAAGAATTTCTAACTATGGGAATTACATGTTTAAAAAATTTAGCGTTGTATTAGATTTTATTTTATTTAACATTCTAGGGAGTTCACAGCCATCAGCAATTTCAATGTAATTTTAGGTGCAATTGGGAATTTGGCATTCTCAGTAGAGCTGTTAGTATAGAAAACCTTGTAGATGGAATAAGTACATTTAATAGCACATGTGAAGGGATTGTTCTAAAATTCACTTCGATGGCTTCATTTTCCACCACTGAACTGGGTCGCTCAACATGGGTGTTATTGTTCCTGATGTTAGGGCATATTCTCTTTTTACAATAAAATTATGACTGTCAGAAGATTTTAACTTGACATATGTGGCATCTCTGCCTCCACAACCTCCATAGGATTGTTTCTCTCCATCTATTATGTTCGTGTGAAATCCTATTTCATTGCCTTAGGAACTACAATAGTTTCTTGTCAGTCACTGCAGCTGGGTTCCTGTGCTTGGCCACAGCCCCTACTCAAGGGCCAGCTCTTCTCCTTTTCCTGATATATATATATATATATATATACACACACAACATATATTCTATTTATATTTATTGAATATAAATTCTATTTATATTTATTGAATACACATATGTGTATATATATACACATATTCTATTTATATTTATTGAATATTCAATACAATATATAAAAATATATCCAAAATGAAGAGTAATAACATAGGTTTAAAAATATACATATTAAAATATATATTTAAAATATATATTTAAAAATACGTTAAAAATATATTTTAAGCCTATGTTATTGCTCTGCATTTTGCATCAATGTGTGACTATTGTGTCATCTTGACCAGAAGCCAAGTTTGGGGTCACTGTAGCAAAAGGTGGAGGAGAAACTGGAGGTGAGTAGGCATGGACACAAAGCAATTGTGTAAATCTTTGGGACTGAGCTGGCACCATACAGAATGGAAGAACAATCTTCTAAATCAGCAGGCTAAGCTAGAGACCTCTGAATCTTCACCCTGACTCAGACTTCTGGGGACTAAGGATGTGTTAGAAAAGGGCAGGTCTTAATTTAACTTAAGAAGTTCATAGAACTTTCTGGAAAGGATTAGGACTTTTTTCCAATAGAGATGAGATTCTGAGAGGCCTGGATTAGAATCTAGGTATGGTGTGTCAAGATGGGTGTGTCAGGATGGGAGGGGAACACAGGGTCCCACTAAGACACACATTAAGCTGGCAGTTATCATGAGAAGAGGACTGATATTGTGTACTTACAAGATTTACGGAAATGCACTGGGGAATGGCAATCAACCTTTAGAAGGAAGTGAAGAGATGAAGAGAAGGAGTGTGAAAATATGTGTGCACAAGAGAGAAAACATACTAAATCAGAGAGTGAAAAAATGAATATTTCTGTGAGTCCACATTTTTTCCCAAAGCTGAAAGGATTTGTGGATGCATGAGTTGCTCCATGAAAATTATCCAGCATGTTGCTCACCCACAAGATTTGCAGGTCTATGGAGGAGTACAATAACGGCAGTGATGACAGTCATGTAAAATGACACTCATGTCTTCTTTTCAATATCAATAACACATAGAACTCTTCATCCATCACATTTGATTTCACGTTTAATACAGTATGTAGCAGCTGAATATTTATATCCCCTTATAATTGAGAGATCAAGAAGGCATGACCTTACAATAACTGTGCAAGGGGAGGCTTTTATTCATTCACCCACTCATTCAGGTATTTAGAAAATATCTATTAAGGGCTTATCGAGTTCCAGGATGTAGTCTAGGCCCTGGAAGTACATCAGTGGGCAAAATCGTCAAATTTAATTTGTAGTAAATGAGAATAAAAGGAAGAAACAGAAAAACTGTGTGTACTTCCTAAAGTGTTCTAGTAGTGGTGGAAGAAAAAGAACTAGGACATAGTCTTTTAATCACTGGTTTTCTGGCTCTTCCTTCAACTAATTCAGCTATGAAACATAATATATATAGAATGTACATATTTGTTTGCATGTGACTGCTAGGAGTTTGTGGGGGGTACACAAAAACAAATACAATCGGATTTCATTATTCAAGAGACACACAGTTTCAAAGGGAGACATATGCGTGATTACAAACAAAATGGTGCAAACACGACTTTGACAGAGCTAAATGCAGGGAACTCTGGAGCACATAGTAGATGCAGTTCCCTGTGCTGGAAGGAATAGGAAAGGCTTTTTACAAAGGACCTCTGAGCTGGCTCTGGAGACAGTGGGAACTGGCCAGTGTTGGTGGTGGAGGGAGCAGTGTTCAGGCTGGGCGAGGGAAATGTGCAAATACCTCTCTGACACGCTCCTAGTGCCACCATGTTGTTACCGTCTCCTATTCTCATCTGCTGGCTTTCATGAAATTACGTTCTCTTTCTTCTTAATGGCCACACTAGAGAGTTTTTTCTTTGTCAGTCTCCTGTGTCTGGCAGAGCACAGGCCAATGATGAACTTTAGGTATGGAGTGTGCAATATGACTGGGAAGAAGCAAGAGGAAGCCTGCTGGAGTGCTGGAATGTTTTAGATCATGATGTGGGTGTTGGTTACACGTGCCAAACTCTATTCAGCCATATGCTTATTAGTGCATTTCCAGCATTTTACTATGTGCATACTAGATCTCAATGAAAGAAGGAAAAAAAAAGACTCCTAACCCAATGATATTAATGTCAGTCCTATGATACTAATTTCTATATGGAGCAGTTTAGCACTTGGAATCGAATGTATTTTGTTTTGTTTTGTTTATTCTCTGTTCATTTCTTGTATGAGAATCTTTTCAGAAACCAGATTTTAAATGCAATTTAAGATCTCAATTTTTTCTTAGGCTCATTTGTCCTATTCTGTGGAATCTCTATGGCTTTGAGTTGGAAATATATAAACTCACACACGGGGAGCAATTGGTTTTATATTTTAGAAGTTTCCTTTGCATACAGCCTATGGAGCACATGTTTTTGTTTCTCTCTGTAAGCGCCCTGTGGCAGGGGATAATTCTACTATTTCTCTTTGTAATATCTGGGAGATTGAGCTGTGTACACAGTCTGAGTCCTCAATAAATATTGCTGAGAGGGAAGAAGTGTGAATTTTTTTTCTATTTTGATTTATGAGCTTCTTAGAAAGGAGAGGGGAAAGACCTAAATAGTATACTTAAGGGATCTTATTTCTCCCCATACCCCTTAAACAGATTAAAAGAGGAAAAGAAATAAAATACTCTTAAAGGTTGATTGAGGGTTAAAACATCCACAGAACAAATTAGACTTACTCAAGTTTTATGCATCTCCAAATAGCAAGTTCATATAGATTTGCTGGAGTTTAGATATACGTGTCTGCCAAACAAGATAACTTTTAAGGAAAACAGTTTTTTTTTTTGCATTCTTTTCAGGTCAGAAATTGAGTTTTTAGCTTAGATTTTGCTCTTAGAAAATATCAGGAAAAATATGCCATCTATGTTGTAATTGTACAACAAACTCAACGAAGAGATCTCATTTCAGGTAAAGCAACTCAGAGGTCCCCTGAACTTCCATGTAAGCATAAAGAAAACTGTATTAGTCTGTTCCCATGCTGCTAATAAAGACATACTCGAGACTAGGTAATTGATAAAGGAAAGAGTTTTAATTGACTCACAGTTCCACATGACTGGGGAGGACTCAAAATCATGGCAGAAGTCGAATGAGGAGCAAAGTCACATCTTACATGGCAGCAGGCAAGAGATTGTGTGCAGGGGAACTCCCCTTTATAAAACCATTAGATCTCATGAGACTTATTCACTATCACAAGAACAGTATGGGAAAGACCCGCCCCATGATTCAATTACCCTCCACCGGGTCCCTCTCATGACACCTGGGAATTATAGGATTCAAGATGAGATTTGAGTTGGGACACAGACAAACTATATCATAAGCATGATTTTTTTCATGTTGCTCTTACTTGGTGATATTTGAGGCCAGCCAAGGCAAAACTTATTGAGCACTTTCAGAACCCTTCTAGAGCTCTCTTTTTCTTGGTGATCCCTGTATCTAATTCTCTCTTACTCCTACCAGAGTTGCCAGTGACCACACACTGGCCCTGTGGCCTAAGATCATTTGCTATAGATCCCCACCTTGGGCTATGCTGCATGTCATTAAGTAATGCTTGGTCATGCCTTCTCTATCTTTAATTCTTTTCCTTGGTATCCTGAACTTTGCCATCCAAAGATTATTTGTTGATTCCAGAACCAAACTATGCAAATATGTTTATGTATGCAATTTTTCTAATGCAAGATGTATTTATACTGTGCTTCTCCTTTTTACCTTCTTTTTTTATTATTATACTTTAAGTTCTAGGGTAGATGTGCACAACGTGCAGGTTTGTTACATATGTATACATGTGCTGTGTTGGTTTGCTGCACCCATTAACTCGTCATTTACATTAGGTATTTCTCCTAATGCTATCCCTCCCCCATTCCCCCACCCCACAAAAGGCCCCGGTGTGTGATGTTCCCCACCCTGCGTCCTTTTTCATAAATCAAATGTGAAAGTGAAAATGCTTTGCTGGGCTGGGTGCGGTGGCTCACGCCTGTAATCCCAGCACTTAGGGAGGCCAATGCGGGTGGATCACAAGGTCAAGAGATTGAGACCATCCTGGTCAACATGGTGAAACCCTGTCTCTACTAAAAATACAAAAATTAGCTGGGCGTGGTGGTGTGCACCTGTCGTCCCAGCTACTCGGGAGGCTGAGGCAGGAGAATCGCTTGAACCTGGGAGGCAGAGGTTGCAGTGAGCAGAGATTGTGCCACTGCACTCCAGCCTAGCTACAGAGTGAGACTCCATCTCAAAAAAAAAAGAAAAAAAAAAGAAACAAAGAAAATGCCTTGCTGCAAAACACAGAGAAAACACAGATAATAATTCACAAGAGAATAAAATGTTTTCAAAGTCTCTCCACCATTAACCCCACACACATGCACATATACTCACACATGTACACACATATATATATACACACACATTACACGTATTACCTGCTTTTTCAATTTAAACAATATTTAATTAAAATGTTTCATGTCAGTAAATGTATTTCCATAACATTTTTCTTTGTGTCTGGAAAGCATTCCACTTTATGAATAAACCGTCATTTTATCACTTTATGAATAAACTATCATTTATTTACAGTCTCTTACTGTTACACATTTTTGCTATATTAAATTAATAGGGAATCCTTACAATACATATGTTTCTCATCAACAATTTTTTGAAAGCTTCTTAGAATATCCAAGTCAAAGACATGCATTAAAAAAACTCTAGTCACTTTTGGATCCAGCTTATTTTTATTAAAAAAGGAATGTATGTCCATTGTAAATTTCCAAATAGCATATAATGAAAAATAAATTCCCCTTCCACCTGAGCCACCTACTTCTCCCCATAGGCAACCAGTCTTGTATAGCTTTTTTATTTCTCTCTGGAAATATTCTACACAGATATATATATGGAGTATATCCTTTTCTTTTTACACAAATGGATATATATATATATATATATATATATATATATATATATATATATATATAAAATTCTGTACCTTTATTTTGGAAATTAAAAAAAATGTATTTTGGAGCTTCTTTCAGTTTAGGACACATAGATCTAACTCATGTTGTTTTTATGGACACACAGTAAACAAAGTACAAATATATGAAAGTTGATATAATTAGTGGGCTGTTGATGGAGTTTGGCTATTTCTTTTGTTGAGATAAACACAGCAAAAACAAATACTCTTGCACATATGGCTTTTTGCACAAACATGAGTGTCAATGAATTCTAAGAATTTTAAGGCTTTCGATAAATACTGACAAACTTTTATTTAAAAGAGAATTTACATTGCCATGGAAAAAATGTCCCCACCCTACCCTGCCCCGCCCTTCATTTAACATGAAGATTTTAGAGATGGGATTTAAAGCCTGAGGACTGAGGGTAAAGTTGGCATTTTTCAGTCCCTGGAGAAGAAACTTGGGTAAAGACAGCATTCCTTTAATATCCCTCCATTTCTCTGCTGAAGAAGCCAACTGCTAAGCCTACATGAACATTTTAGTGCTGCTGTTTGTGGCTGTGCTCCTCAGAGACGTTTTAACCTTAGCTCCCTCTCCATGGAAAGGCACCATAATTCTGCCTGATCAAATCGCTTCATCTGTTTCTTTGCCCACCATAGCATCTGAGCTTCTTACTATGGTTTTCTTAAATTTTTTTTGGACCTTTCTTTTAGATGTCTTAATCTTTTTTATCTACAATGTAAATTCTGTGAGACCCGTTGATGATTTTGTTCACTGCTATATCCCTGAATCTATCTAGTCCATAGTAATGGCTTAAAAAGTTTTTGTTGAAAGAATGAGTCCATTCAGTCAAACAACAGAAGTTTCTAAAAATCTCCATACAGCTTGACATAGTTCCCCATCACAAGTTTTGCACCACTGTCTTGGGGTTTGTTACCCTCTGACTAAAGCTGGGATTTAAAAAAATCTATGTTTGGAGGATGAACTTCAGAGGGTGTGTGAAACCCCAGGGCTTTCAGGCCAGGTCTGGGGTACATGTCTGAGTGTGCATTTTCTGGGGTGGGAGGAGGAGAAGGTTCCTAGGACTTGTGGAAGCAAAATCGTTAATTCTTTTTAATCTTTCTTTCAATAATTTAGCATAAATGATGCTGAAACAGATGTGTTGGGAATGATTCTTTTCAGAGACTGGCAAACTAGGTGTGACCCCTTGGCTCTAGATAAATATTACCTAGATGTAAAACTAGATAAAACTCAGATTAATCAGAGTTTTGGGTAACTATCGGGCAAGCAAAGTTATGGGCAGCAAAGAAACCCTTACTAGTTAGAACCAAGATCTTTCTTTTGGGTTGATAATGATGGCTGCAATTTTCTTGAAAAAAAAAATAAAAGGGTGACATTTGCACATTCAGTTTGAAAGAGAGATAATCAAGCCTACCTTATAAAACATTAAAAATAAAGTATATTAATTATTTTGATCAGTGCCACTTATAGATGAATAAAGTGGATGAAATATGATATTTTATAATTTAAAATTTTTCATGTGATCTGTCTGATTTTAGAAAAGAACCCCAGTGTAAAGTGGATTAATAAAATGATTTAATCACATTTTTAATGTTTCTCTCTTCAAAGAGAATTTCTAATAACTTGTATTTTGGACATAAAATTGCTACATGTGTGAAACTATGAGGATAAATAAAAACGCAGAGTGTGTTCTTTTCGAGCAGATTTTTTTTTTTTTTTAACATATGAGAGGAAATGGGACAGTGATTTGTCTTTGGGTTAAGTATGGTACTGAGAGGATGGACAGTCCAAGACCCAAGAAAGTGGGCTGCTGGAAAAACATAACGAGGAGAAGAAAACATTGGAGCAAATGTTTGAGAAAGCTGTCAGAAAGTAATAAAGATAGCAATAACATCTTATTTTCAGCATCAATATTAACACATCACTCAGGTACCAAAAATCATTCAGGAGAAACAAACAGGATTGGATTAAATGAATTTGGACTGGATTTTAGGAAGGAATTGTTTGGCCTTTTAAACAGGACATTTCCATTCATTTATTCATTCAATATTAATATAGCATCTACTATATCTTAGTGCCAGGTATTTAGGAAGACAGACCATTGGCAACTTTAGTGAATGCCGGGGAGGTTACCTGGTTAAAGTATAGCAAATTTAGAGTGTTTTAGGTTTTTAGAGGGGAAGCTGAAAATGAGACAGGTCCTTACCATGGTCAATTTTATAATCAATTAAAATTATAATTTTTCTATAACCCCACTACGCAGGTAGGAAAAATAAGCTACCAAAGGGTACATGATCCTGGACCTCAGATTCTACAGCTTAACTGAAGTTAACCTCACTATTGATGTTCATCTAGACTTTCATTAACCTCTGACCCATGCTGAATATGCTTCAGGTGAAAAGAAGTAAAGATTTTATTGTAATATGAACAAATTACCCTGTTTAAATTTTAAATGTTTACTAATGGAACATAGGCCGGGTAACACATACATGGAGTAATTAGACAGTAAGCTGCTATATGGGCACCTATTAACTGCAAAATGAATTTGACCAGAGATTGATTTTTTTAAGCATTTCTTAATTAACAAAGAATGAGCAAGATAAATCTGATAAATGAAGAGTTACACTGAGTTTTAAATAGTGAGCAATTTGGAAACAGAAGTTCACTGTTTATTCTTTTCAATACATGAAAATGATCCAGCATGGTTAAACACATTTCATATTTTACATTTTCTTATCAGAAGTGAAACACCCACATTTACATGATTGCCCAAAGTTATGCTGTATGTTAAGGAAATATATAAGGAAATATATATAAATATATATTTATATATATATATAAAATATATAAGGAAAAATATAAGGAAAATTTATAATAAATATCTAAAATGCTGTATCATCATGTAATGGATTTAATGGTTCAACAATTGGGAATGATAGAGTCCTTCTATGAGCAACTTTTAGAATGTCTACTTAGTACACATTCTCATATATGAAATAAGCTTTCCAGTTGCCCAAGGATATTTATTAATCATGTGTGTCTTGTTTTAGTCCTAGTTTTAATATTAGAGCTATGATACAGACTTTATTAAAACACACATACACACACTCTTCATCAAAGTTAGAACAAATTATACTCAGTCAAAATAACTGTGGTTTCCATTAGTAGAAATTTGGAATGGTTGATATATCCATGTAATACTTTTAAAATAGACTATTATTGCTAAATGAAAGTATTCTTTAAATTAAGAACAGCAAATAAAACATGACCTAAATAGGTAATTTTTAATATCCTCCTTTTTTTAATAAGCCTTAATTTTGAAAAGTTGGATGAAGGGAACTTTATTTGTTACCAATAAGACATGGTTTATTAACATTTGTGCATCAGAGTTATAGTTATTTTTATAATAAAATTGTGCATTTTTTATACAATTGGGCCACCTCCATGAAGAAACTAAAAATTTGCATAATGACAGCTTACATTAGTTTCAGAGATAAGTCATTATATATTTCTTTATCTTTTGTTTTCATTTTCCCTTATAAGCTGAGATAATTTGGCCAGCCTAATGGTTGCCCTATTTATGGTACAGTTTTTGTACCCTGACCAAAACTATGACCTTTTTAAACTAATACGTTTGATGTACCTATTCAAACTTTTTTGGATAAATACCTTATCAAAGAAATACCTCAAGGTTGGGGCGTGGTAGCTCATGCCTGTAATCCCAACACTTTGGAGGCCAAGGTGGGAGATCACTTGAGTCCAGCATTTCAAGACCAGCCTCAGGTCGGGCGTGGTGGCTCACGCCCATAATCCCAGCACTTTGGGAGGCCGAGGCAGGCTGATCACTTGTGGTAACCTGAGGGCCAGACCAGCCTGGTCAACATGGTGAAACCCCATCTCTACTAAAAATACAAAAGTTAGCCGGGCATGGTGGCACATGCCTGTTATACCAGCTACTTGGGAGGCTGAGGCATGAGAATCTCTTGAACCCAAGAGGCAGAGGTTGTAGCGAGCCAACATCACACCACCGCACACCAGCCTGGGCGACAGAGCGAGACTCTGTCACAGCAACAAAACAAAACAAAACAAAACAAAACAAAACAAAACAAAACAAAACCCAAAAACCCCAAAACAAGCCTGGGCAACATGGGGAAACTCTGTCTATACTAAAAATACAAAAATTAGCAGGGTGTGGTGGTACAGGCCTGTAAACCTGGAGGCAGAGGTTGCAATGACCTGAGATTGCACCACTGCACTCCAGCCTGGGCGACAGAGGGAGACTCTGTCTCAAAAAAAAAAATAATAAAATAAAAATAAATAAATAAATAAATAAATAATTAAAAAAAGAAAGAAAAATTAAAAAAGAAAAATCTCTCTCTCTTCCACCCTTCTTCTCCCCTCTTCTAACCTTTTAAATCTTTTCTTCCCTTATTACCATTTTGTTTTAAACAAGTGGATACCCACTTAGTCTTATCTTAATCTCAATCTTAATTTTATCTTAATCAGATTAAAAAAATATTCAGCGTGTAAAATAACCCTTTTAACAACAGGGTAATCTAAGAGACTGACATTTACAGGAGTTATCTTCTTGCCTCTCTCTCTCTGAAGTGACTTGTGAATCTGAAGGTACAGTGAGTAAATCCCCTCACAGTGGGTGGCTGGGAGATTACTCCTAATGCTGACTCTGCAAGTTATCTATCTCCCTCTGCCTCTCTTTTATTCCTTTTCCCTTTTCTTTTCTTTTCAGCCAAAAAAGTAATTCTTAATGACATATGAAATGACAAAACTCTCATGAAAACTTTAATGCTAATATTGTTCCTCTGAGAAACAATGAGCTAAATGATCACTTCAGACAGAAGAACCAATAGAAATGAATACAAAGTGTGATAGGGGTCCTGGCTATAGCTCAAGTTGTGTTGATTGCTGAGGTTCAAAGATGTGTGAGCCTGTCAGCTGGACTGGAAGGGGTGGTCCCCCAAAAATCTCTTTTTGGGAGGGACTAGGGATCTTACTAATAGATAACTCATCCTATGCAAAGGAGTTGCCATGCGTAAGAAGCTTGATCCAATAACAACACCTAGGACTCCTGAAGGAAAGAGAGTCTCTGGGCCTTTCTCAGGTGGCAGTGTCTATTACCCAGGGGAATTCTTCCCCCTGTACCAACTGGACTCATGCCTGAGTCTTACAGTGACTCTTGAACAGGATCTGTAAGTTAAAATAAAAAGACATGTTTGACAAAGTGAAGAATGGAGACACAGTATAATGTTTTGGTTGCAGCCGTTTAACATAATGTAATACATGAGGAGAGAGAGAGCCATTCTTATCCATTTTAGGTCAACAGCCAATGACACTGGTTCTTCATGGGCTCAGATGTATTAGCAGTAGTAGTAAGTTACAGTGTGTGTAAGGACATTAGTGCCCAAAGTTAGTGCCATATCCAGCAGACCCAGTGTCTGGCAACTAGAGATGTATGTTCTGGAGGGGCAATGGCATGTTGTAGAGATGCAATGTGTGGTGCTGAAGTCAGCAGGTATAGCATGCTGGGGAACCACACCCATGTATGAGCCAATTGGAGGCACCTGAAATACATGGAGGTGAGGGGCTTTACAGAGGTCTTAATTATTGGAGGGGAAAAAGAGTGATATTTGTGCTATTATTACAAATAGACTCTACTTGCTACCAGTGTGACTCCTGAAGAAACTGGGCCACCCAGAAGCAGCACACAATAACGCTGCCATGCATCAATATTTTAGTTCCCCATCCCATTTCCATTCAGCCCACTTTTTAAGAGATAGAATAATGAGTGTTACGGAAAGAAAAATAGGTCACCAGTTTGATAAGGAAGTGGACGGATGGTGAAGTGTGGGGGCGGAAAAGAGCCAGCAGAATTAACAAAGGTAATTAAAGTAGCAGAAGCGAGAGAAGCTGGTTTTCACACTGCCAAATATATTTCAACTGAGCAAAAAGGAGAGTTATTCACATACATGTATTCACAGAAGGCAGAAACAGAGAACAAAAATAACCGTGAAAACCGACACTGGAAATTAAAGAGGAGGAAATAGAGTAGTTAATTCTTGTCTTCAGCCTAGTTTTTTTCCCCAAGCTGAAAAACGACTGTGAATTATATAAGCAAAGCTAGAATAAAATTACTGTGAAATAATGCTAACTTTTTAGCAGCCTCCTTTAAGTGCATCCTCCTTATTTGTCAATTCACCTGCCAAGCATACAAGAACATTCATTTTTTTTTTTCTCCTTGAACTACCCACAGATTGGGCAATCTTCATGCACTGAAAGCGTGTGTTTCTTCATGCATTGGTGCATGCTGAATAGGGCTGTCCTTTTTCCAAATTATCAGCTGCTTGCCTGGGCAATTTCCATGAGCAAATATGGGTATTTGCACACGCAAATGGAAGTGCGTGAAAATAATATGTGCTCGCTATTAGTGGGCCCAGCCAGGGTTTGCCTTTTTGGAGTTAAAAGCCCTGTAAAGGCCACATGGATTTCTGAGGAAGCTTCATTTAGCAAGCACAATTCATGAGCCAAGCCAAGGAGTTATAATTCCACTAGCTAAATATCCCTTTGTGAAGATAATAGATTTTTTTAAAGGACTTGGACTTGCAGAATGGTTTAAAAGGCGACATTTTACTAGGATATGGTATAAGCTAACTTTTGGCTCTGAAGTATTTACTAATATGTTATGGGTTTGAGATGTACGGTGCAACTTTCCATTTCCTCTTAAAGTGTCACTGGAAAGGTTATATAGTTATGAAAAACAAACGTGAGAGCTTAAACATTCAGGGTTATATTGCCAAATAATATCTGAAATGCAAAGGATTACAAAAATTAGCAAAGATTAGTAATTACACAGAGCCAAGCTTCCTCTCAGAGGACACATAATATTTTAATACTTTAGGAAATCTATTTACCATTTTACCAGTGCAGTATTCTAGTGCATATGTCTTATAGCTATGCTCACACACATATCCATATTTTGAGGAATGTATTAATTTCTTCTTGCCAGAAATCTTCTAGCCATGGCTTAAGAAGTGACTTCCAGTCTCTCTAATTGTTCTAGAATCTTTTAAAACCTCCCAGCTCACAGAGTCTGAAGTCTGAATCTTGCCTTTCATGACACAAGCACAAAATCCTAAAATGTATTTTTCAATTTGCATTTTCACAAAATAATTTTCTTAGTTAAGCTATTCTGAAGTATCATTTAGGAATTTCTGCTTTCTTATACATTGTTTATCTTTTCTCAACACTATTTTTTTAAATGAAAAAGAATACAAGGGGGAAAGGGAGATTTTATTGGACCTTCCAAATACAAAACAACTGATTAACAAGTGAAAAACTGAATCAATCAACTGGAATTGGTATATACTGAGTAATGAGTGAGTCAAATGATGTTTTCCCCATTATTTCTCATCAGTGATTTTCTTGAATTGAGGTGGCAGATTGAATTTTCCAAAGAGGGCTGCAATGCAACTTCGTATCCTACATGCTATTCTAGAACCTTGCCACAGTCCTTTCAGGAAAGAATGTCAAATTCTCTCCTCTGTGAACCTGGGCCACTTGTGAGTTGCTTATCGATGGGAGAATGCAGTGGAAGTAACGCGTGTGATTTCTGAGGCTGAGTTAGAAGAGACATTGCGGCGTTGCTTTGTTGGCCAGGACACTCAACTCCCGAAACCCTGACCCGCCATGTAGAAGTCTAATCATCCTAAGCTTCCATGCAATGAGGAAGCCCAGGGACAGGTAGAGGCCACTTGTAGGTGCTCCTGCCAACAGGCTGAGGTGCCAGGTGGCAGCCAGCATCCACCACCAGGCATGTGGCGAAGATGCCTCCAGATGACTTCAGCCCCCAGTTATTGATTCACCCCCAGCCTTTGAGTCTTCTAGCTGGGAACCCTGACATTACAGAGCAGAGACAAGCCATTCCCAGGAAGCCATGCCTGAATTACTGACTCACAGAACCTAATAGCTCAATATAATGTGTATGCTTGCTGCTAAGTTTTGGGTTACAGTTGCCCCTCCCTCTGTATCTATGGGCCACATCCCTGGTTTCAATAAACTGCAGATCAAACATTCAAAAAAAAAATTACAAAATTACAGTATAACAACTATTTATACAACATTTACATTGTATTAGCTATAGAGATAGAGATAATGCCAAGTATACAGGAGGGTGTGTGTAGGTTATAGGCAAAAACCGCACCATTTTATATAGCAGACTTGAATGTCTGCAGATTTTTGGTATCTGCAGGGGTTCCTGGAACCAGTCACCCACGGATATAGAGGAATGACTATAATTTATTATGTAGCACTAGTAACGAGAACTGTCAACAAATTACTTGAGACAAAATGTTCAAATCTAAACAGTCAGAAAGTATCATCTCATATTTCAGAGTCCATTTGGGATAAGATGTTGAGCTACTCATTTCCAAAATCCAGTGGCATTTGATAATTTTCCAGGGAGAAATTCCACAGGTTAATTATTTTTAGGTCAACAGTCTCTATTTTAAAATGTTGTAGCTTAAAAAAAGTATATACAAAAGTTTATTTTTTAAAAGATCTCATTAATAAATTGACAGACTAGGGGATTCATTGCACAGAGTGCCCTTGGAAAACACATAATTTGAGCTTGGCCAACAGGCAGGTTGCCAGTATATGCGGATGCAGGGGCGGCTGCTCCCATTCCATTTTCACTCTTCTTTTCCTTTCTCATCCCCTTTCTTTTCTCTCCTAGCTAGTGCCCACTTACAAAGTGGCTGTTGCATGTATGTGGTGTTCAGCCATGTGTGATAAGATGCAAAATGAGCCAGGAGCCTGTAATCCCAGCAGTTTGGGAGGCCGAGGTGGGTGGATCACCTGAGGTAGGGAGTTCGAGACCAGCCTGACCAACGTGGAGAAACCCTGTCTACTAAAAATACAAAAAAAATTAGCTGGGCATGGTGGCACATGTCTGTAATCCCAGCTACTCGGGAGGCTGAGGCAGGAGAATCACTTGAACCCAGGTGGCAGAGGTTGCGGTGAGCCGAGATAGAGCCGTTGCACTCCAGCCTGGACAACAAAAGCAAAACTCTGTCTCGAAAGAAAAAAAAATTGCAAAACAAAAGTAACTTATGTCTGGCCTCTCATCCTGTAATCCTACATGTACTGGATCATGGGAAAAGTTACTTATATGTGAAATAAACATGAACTTTTAATTTCACCTCATAAGTCATGATGAGAAAAAGCCAATAAATTCTTTTCACCAAATATTTTGAACCTGAGAGTGCCTAATGCTAATGATGAAAAGACAGATCCATGGCTAGAGAAGTGCAACAGAAAAGCACAGTAATAACTTTCTGGTATATAATATACATATTTAATGGACGAAAAAAGAATTCTAAGAGGAATAAATAGTTAGGAGTGGAAAACAGAAGCATAAGATAAAGAAATAAGCTGCAGTGAGAAAACAATTCTCAGCAATAGCTCCTGTATTCCAAGTGATTCCCATGTATCCGTAGGTAGACATGAGGCTTCTGCAGTCCTCTGTACATTATTTATATGATAGTCAAGTGAGAAATGGATTGGGTGGAATTATGGAAGCCAGTTAGGATTGGAATGGTAATACGAGTTACTACAACTCTAGAGCACATAGGCTCAAGAATTGTGCAAGTCATGTATATATATGTAACTAACCTGCACATTGTGCACATATACCCTAAAACTTAAAGTATAATAATAATAAAATAAAAAAAAATAAAAATACAAAAAAAAAAGAATTGTGCAAGTGAGGAGTCAGTAAAGACGTGTGAGGTCCTCATTCAGTTTTGTGTTTTTAAATGTGCACTTCAAAATAGTGAAACTTTTAGAACAAATTTGGGGGGTAACTTCTGTGTCAAATTCTCCTTGCCTATAAAGGAAACTCCATATTCTACAAAAAGCCTTAAAACTTATTTTATTTCTTTCTTCAAAATCCTGCAATGCCTGACATGAGTCATTATTGTCTATAATCTACCTCCATAGCAACACAACTTTCATAAAACAGACCCTTCTTTCTACTGCTGCCTTGCTTTCTTGGTGACAGGGGACCAACGGAGGGTGGAGTGAGTGAGCCCCAGTGTGGAGGGAAGGGAAGGATGAGGCTTCCTGACAATCTCTGTTGGTTCTTACTGGTCATCCGACCAGTGGTAAATGCTGCTGCAGGAAGGAAGAGAGCAGCATTTGCTATCTGTAGTCTGCGGGAGCGTTCGTTTCCTTCAGGGCAGGTGGGTTTGGTTAGGATTCAGCTGGTCCTTTGTGGTTATGTTTACATCCTGGTCAGGGACCTGCACTAATAGGTGTTCAATTAATATTCAGTTGAATAAAATTTAAAAAAAGGTATCTTCTAACATGCTAATTTCCCTTTCCAACACCTTATGATTTTTTCCTCCCACAGTGTCTCTGATTCTCTTCTCAGTGTGGTCACTGGAGCTGATTACACACAACTAAATGTGGATAAAAACAACAATAATCATAATACTGTTTATAATGACAGCCAATTTTTGTTAAGTGATTCCCATATCAGGCATTGTTTTAAGCACTTATCGAATGCAGTCCTCACAACAACAACCCTACCAATTAGGTCAGTCTTTTCTTCTGAACTTCATGATGAGGAAACGAAGGCCTAGAGGAACAGACGTCTTTGGGAAGTGAGGGCAGATGTCAGCAGAGGAAAGAGGGAGGGGTGCTGTGTGGCATCAGGACAGAGTCTCTTCTTGAGGATCCTGGCAGAATCTAAGGCTGTTTTGCCCCCTCCAGTCATCTTTACTTTTCTATTTGACTAAACTTCTATTTCCTTTTACTGTTGTGGGAAAGTTGGTCTGAAGTTATATCTCTCTACCTCTCTACACTACCCTGTGCTCTAATCTCCCAGGTTTGTTTTGGATTTGTATTGCTCTCAAGCTATTAGAACTTAGAAAATCCATTTCTTTTTCAACAAATCTGACTTTTAAGGCTATAATCTTAGAAAAAAGTCTAATTGGAGACTTAAAACCGGGCAAGAACTGCTTTGTTTTAGACTGTGACTCATCTTGAAAGTGAGAAATGCCATTGATTTAATGAAAGGGAACTCACAGGGAGACAGGATTGACAGAATGTAAAAAATATATTAGAAACTATCCTGCCTCATTTAAAGGAGTGTGTGGGGATAGTTTACTCTGTGTTTTGGGCTAAATACATATAAGCTTTCTACTGAGTGTCGTTGAAAGGCATTTGCCTGTCTGCTCTCTTTACCTTCTGTCTGTTTCCTCTGCTATTCTCTGTTTAATATCAAAAATAAAACTCAAAAAAGCATTTACATGAATTTTGGTGAGGGCTCATTGTGGTCGCAGGTTTTCAGCTTACCTCCTCCTACACTCAGTTTCTTGAGTAATGAGACAGTGTCTGTTTTGTTCCAGCATCTAACATGGCAATGGACATATAGGAGGTGTGCAATAAATATCTGGATGTTGGGAAATCATAAAATTACCGAATACAGGAATGTTCAGAGAATTATAGTTCTTTTCTCATTCAATCCAATTTCATTCCTGCTTGTCTGCCTTCCTCCTACTCTTCCTTGTTTTTCCCTTCCGTGGATATCTGTCTTGGCCACAGTGGTTCCTGGAGTTTGGAATGCCAAAACCGAGCACAGGCAGGAAAACAATAGATCTAAGAGGCTGGAGGTTGAGGGAGAGGTCTCAGATGAAGAAAAAAGTTGGTGGACCAGAAGTGGTGGGGGAGGGAGTCAGAGGCTGGATGGACAGTAGAATTGGTGGGGAGTGGTGGCTGGAATAATCCAGGTTTGCAAGCATATGAGGTGCAAAAAATGAACTAGGAAGAATAGTTACGAGAAGTTTGGCTGGTGGTTATGAACAGAATTCGCTTTAAAGTTTTAAACCACATAAGTGAAAAATGGCATTCCTTGCTTTTTATTTATATTTTCTTTGTGTGTTTTGACTAAATTTCTTTAAAACAATAGTCACGGCTTAACAGAGTTGTAATGTGTTAAAAGGGCTATAAGAGAATGAGCTTCCTTTATAGGAAGATCCCATCTTCTTTTCCTCTCTCTGCTAGTCACTAACATTCATTGAAGTTTACTCTGTCCCAGACACTGTGTTAAATATTTGCAGGATCATATTTAGTTTTCACAGTAACACTCAGAGGCAGAAATTATTACTTATATTATTCCAAAGAGGAAAACAAAGCTGAGAGAGGTAAAGTTGCTTATCCAAGTCACACAGTCACAGACACAGGATTTGACCATAGCTGCACCTAATGCAAAAATTCAGATTCTTAAGTTCTATGTAATACTCCTGAAGATATTAATTAAAAATGTTTAATAATAAAGTTCTGGAACCATGAAACTACTGGGAATTGATGCTCTCTGTTCTACGATACGGCTAATGATTCATACCACATGATTTTTGTTTATCCCTTTGTGCTCTTCAAAATGCACTTGGATTGCAGTTACATAAGTTGCCAACATACTGGATTTTCTGGATTCTGCCTTTTTAGAGACTCATTGTGGTTCTCAAAGTGTGGTTGGGGAACTCTGAGATCCCTGTGACGATTTTAGGAGGTCTTTGAAGTCCCCACACCACATGTCTGCAGATGCAGACATTAAAATCTTGCTGTCTTCTATTAAGATAGATGCTAAAGAAATTTACAAAATTTAAAACTGCTTCTTTTCTTACAAATTTTTTTGCTTTGGAAAATATAAGTGTTAATAAAAATATGTTAGTATGTTACTGTATAGTAAGTTTATTTATTAAGTCATTTTAATTACTCAATAAATTAGTATTTAAAAAATTCTCAGTTTTAATTTTCAGTACTATAAATATCAATGTAAGTAAAAGCTTTTTTGGTTCCCAGGCATAAAGGCTTGAGAACCACTGATATAGTTATTTACAAATCCATTTAGTGTACTTTTGAACACCCATTATGCTCAAGCATTGTGCCAGGTGGAAATAAAAAGGTAAATCTGACATAGTCTTAGGCTTGGAGTAGCTCCAAAGTTTACCTGTTAATGACATGTAAACATAATCATGGTATACTTAGTACTGCTATTGCAGAGATACAAACAAAATGCAAATCTTCTAAATTGAATTTAATTCAGCATCCCAATTGCGATTCTGTAATACCTGAGGTAATTCCAGCATTCCTGTTTTACAAATAAGGAACCTGAATGAAGCTCAGAGAGAAAGTGATGTGGTCAAGGTTTCACAGCTAGTGAGTGGGGAACGAGGGTAGCCAATTCAACCCATAGGATGTATTTGTGTTATTACCAAGATTTTCTCACCTGTCTTTGTTAATCTCCAATGTTCTTGGATTGTACAATAAATATAAATCTCAGAATTTGAATTGTTAAAGAGAAGTAAATGAACAAATCTCTTTGGGACAATTTGTAAAGTATATCAGTGATCTTTATTAAACATAAGCTAGATCATTTGGTATAAATGATAATAAATTATGTTTTAGAGAATAAGATTATTTGTTACTTATTTAAGATGTTAGTATGTGAATTTTCCCTTTACTTGGGTAAAGAACCTATTTCATTGTTAAGTTGAATATATGCAGTAATGTCTTAAGAGGAATTTCTATGTTTCCACTTTTATTCAATTTCATTAAAATGTAAGAAGAATATGACTCAAAAAACCAAATCTCCAAATAAACATACAAATACATAAAGTAAAATGCAGTAAATCTGCTGGGAAAATCACCCAGTGCCAACTGATAGGATTTCACTTTGTGCAAAACCATGTCCATTTCAGATGATGCTCAGTGCAATAAATGTGGCTCAGCAGAACTTTTATTCAATAAGGAAACCTTCATAAATACACACCTTGTGCATTTTACTTATCTGCCATAGAAGTGCATTTTGTTGAAACATAACTTTAAAAAGCTTATGAAGACATCCCATATATTCAGAAATATCATTCTTGCAGGGGAAAAAAAAGCATCAGCAGCCCCGTGAATCCTTTAATCATAGGCATTAAAGATGATCTGTTCAGAGATTGCAAGGCTGCTGACTCAAGTTAACATTTTCTTGGCTTGCTTCTGGGCTGCTAGCTATCTTTGCATGTGCATGATGCTGATGTAAAATGACATTTGCACCTGTTGTCACCATCCTATGTTAATTAGCATAGTGCCCTAAGTAGTAACCAGGCCATCACATCCAAACAGAAGCCATTAACATATTGCAGCTGTCATGACTAAGAAAGATACTGGAGCTGGGAGATGTGCGCATCCCTGCATACCTTGGCTCAGTTAGCAAAGCTCTCCCAATTGGAGTCACTTGGGAGAGGAAAAGAAGCGTGGGATGTAGCCAGTCAGGAGTGAAAGAATACATTTTACTGCAGGTTTACTTTCATGTATTATGCATAGCCTTCAAGGTCACTGCATGATCATTTATAAGATTTTAATGAGATATCAAAGTGGAAAGAATGGAATATAATTAATGGAATCTTATTGAAAAGATAGACAGGTATAACAAAAGCCTCAAAATACAATGCAATCTTCCGAATTCTAGAACTAAGTAGGAGACCGAACATCAAAATCACACTGGGGGGGAGGGAAGGTTACCATATTGAGATAACACCTCATTACAAAAGGCCTCTTTGTGTTACTCTTTTCAGCAAGGCAACAATTCAAAAAATTAAAGAACACATAGAAGCTTCTGTAAGAGAATAATGATAGGTACTTGAGTTAGAATACATAGATATTTTCTAAACCCAGAGGAGGTAGATGACCTATTCCAAGACTTCAAGAAGAGCTTCTATTAAGTATGGGTATCTTCTATGAATCATTGGAACAGGGCACACAAGGTCAGCTATCTCATGCCAGTGAGATTCCCCAGAAGGTGTTTTGCTCAACATACAGTCAGGTTTCTTTGAAGTTAGTTTGGCTGTATGTATTTTTCAACTTATAAAAATTGCTCAGCTCATACAAATGCTGGTTAAAATGTAGACACATAGCATAGGAAAAGTCTAGATTGATGAGTGGGTAGTTAACCAGAAACTTCACTCAATTGACTTTTTTGCAATCAACCTAGGAGAAAGAGGCAAGTGGAAATAAATTAAATGGGCAATAGGGGTTTATTTATTATTATTATTATTTTTTTTTAAAGAGCAGCTTATGGGATATGTCCTGAGGACTGATATCCATGCTACTAAATTTTTTAGATCTTTATCCCCATATTTCTGTTCAGGGAGAACTGATGTTAAAAATAATGATCCTGAGGCCCAAAGGACTTTGAATTCTTTCATGATTCATCAAAGAAAAATAGATTCCATTCAGCACACTGGTCTAACTAAAGCAGGAATGTGTAGTATGGCTTAGAAAGATTTCATAGCTAAAAATCTTGGGAGGAATAATAACTCTGCTTAAAAACTTAACCTGAAAATCTAGATATTTAATTCCTTAAACATGCTGGTTAATTTCATGAAGTCCCAAATTCTGTCTTTTAAATGTGAGTTTCTTTGTGTGGGTAAAAATTTCTTTTTAGGGTAATAGCAAAGAATAGAGACCTCATCTAAATTTCTTCTTACATATTACCTTCTGGAAAGTTGCTTTGTAAAACATTTTTGTCAGCTAGAAAATGTTGCCACTTTTATTTACTCAATATCCAACAATGTAGGCAACTTCATATGCATGTAAATATACAGCAAAGGGGATGGGAAACAACTAAATCAGTCTAATCAAAATTATAACACATATTGATTGGCTAACCAGCTAATGTTTTTACTCTTTGGTTGTAGTATTCCTGGGGTTGACGAGAGAAGATTTTTATCTATTTGTAAGGCTATCATAAACCACAAGGAATATTAGTATTTTGAACAAGTTTTGTTTACTAGTCATAAAAATGCAATAAAATCATAGACTTATTGATGATGCAGAAATTTTTATGTAACTGTCTCAAAAATACTTTCAAAATTATATTTTCTCTTCTGGTCTAAATACAGAGAAATTAAGTCATGCTTGAAAGATACTCAAATAATTAAATGAAAAGTTAAAAATAATCTTACTTCTGCAGATCTCTTATTATACAGCATTTGCATATTATCAAATAACTAGAAATAATAGCCAGGTGCTTTATGTTTCACCAAGATATTGGACCTCATTTAATCATTTCTAGATAAGTAAATAGATTGGATAACATCAGTCACAAATTTGAGAATAAAATTTGTCTACTTCCTCTTCAATACTGAAGTTATGAAAATGTGCTATTTTCTTTAGGCACATTATTACACAAGTACTTACTAATAGGTCTCCTTCAATCTGTAGCCACAAATATGAGTACTATCATTTACATTTTCCTGCAGCCATGTGTGACTGAACAAAATTTGGTATTGGGGTAGGGGGAGAAAACAAAAAATCATTTTAATCTAATCAACAATTCTAGTCACTGGAGATAAAAATAATTTAAAATTCATGAGGACACCATCTTCCCATTTTTAAAAGGTTAAGTTCCTCTAAGCTATGAAAGAAAAACACCCTCTGAAGACCTGGGGAAGCAGTAAACACTGGTGGCAAGTGACAGGAATTGATCCTCCTTGGCTGTGCCTGTCATGTCTCTAAATTTTATTTCCACCATCTCTAGAATGCTATGAAAAGAGAGTGGGTGCCGGACTATGGCCTGAGGGCTTGGTACCTGGGTCTCTGACTTTTTCTCAATTAGGAAGCCTCCCTGCCTGATGGAGAGACGTGCATCTGACTGGGGCATGGACAGTTGTGAGGTATTGATTAGCCATAATGTGAAGTCAAATCTGAATAAAAAAGAACTTCATTGGAGACAGCATGCCCTCTAAGTCAAGGGTCCAGAGATTCTGATGAGCTCTGTTTCCTTTCTGGGAGAGAGAGAGTTCCAGCTTCCTTGTAAAGGCTCTCTTGATAAGAAAGTCCAGTGGACCTTCTGTCAGAAAAGCTGAGGCTTCAGATTTGACAGGCGCTTGTTAGTTTTTCATCCCAGATCACTCAACATTCAGGGAAGAGAAGAAAAGAAGATTTCTAATATTGCCGGACACCACAAAAGTTAGCCTTGCATTTGCAGTAGGAAGCTACAGCTGCCTTCCTGTACATTAAAGAAAATGCAAACTCTATCTAGCGTGGAAGGTGCCTTTTTCTACAATGCTGGCCTCACTGCAACACAGCACATAGAACATGCACTAATTTAAATATAATTTAGATCATGAACAACCAGCACATGGATTTGAGTTGAATTTTTTAAAATTATTTTATTTTCAAGTGATACCTTTGCATTCTTTTTGCAAACCCTGTATTATGACCTTAAAATGTCTCAGTCCCTTTCATTTATATGATGTTTTTAAGACAGTGGTATATATCATCTGCCTTGAGGCTTTAAAATAGTCCTGTGAAGTAGAAAGTCCAAGTGTCATGGTTCCCATATAAAGAATGCAAAAACAAAGATACACACAGGGGCTCTGAGATTGTCTAAGGTTGTAAAGAATCAGAATTAGAACTCAAGCACCCTATCTTTTAGTCTGACTTTCTTATCCTAGAACCAGAAATAAACCATTCTGACACCAAAACTACACACTTGCAGAGTCGTGACTGAATGCTGTCTTAGGTAACCTCATTCTAGAATTGCCATACTTTCATAACCTATCTCAGCAATTACTGTTCCATTTTTAAAGTTAGCAAAGATAGAAACAGTGTTTGCTGCATCTTCTCTTCACTTAACACATTACTATTAATTGGTGACTAACTAAACTCTTATTCCTACTGAGAATATCCTCCTTTTCTTCCAGTAGTCCCTTAATATGCTTACATGGATTTATTTAATCACATATTGTTTTGGATTTTAATTTTCCTTTGTTTCAGAAATATGTTTCTCTTACTCACTCTTGTATGTGTACCCTGGTCTAGCACCACCTCTGACCCAGAACAGATGTTCAATAAATACCAGTTACAGGAATAAACAGATGAGTGAATAGAAGCACTAGAAATCAAAAGGAGAACCACAAGCAGATTAGATGCTATTGATAAAACTCTCTATAAATGAACAGAAAACACTGCGACAACTACTACCTTTGTCAAATTTTAGAGAATTTGGGAACTCTTTTCAGAGCCCGCCTTTCTTATAACATAAATCATGTCTTGTTCACCTTTGTTGTTGTTTGTTTGTTTTTTGAGGCAGAGTCTCGCTTTGTTGTCCAGGCTGGAGTGCAGTGGCATGACCGTGGCTCACTTCAGCCTCAACCTTCTGCACTCAAGTGATCCTCCCATTTCCATCCCCCAAGCAGCTGGGACTACAGGTGTACACCACCATGCCAGGTTAAGGTTTAAGTTTTTTATAGAGACAGGTCTCACTATGTTGCCCAGGCTGGTCTTGAACTTCTGGGCTCAAGTGATCCTCCCTCCTTGGCCTCCCAAAGTGCTCAGATTGCAGGTGTGAGCCACCATACTCAGCTTTGTTCACCTTCATATCGCCGACTGCCTGGCACACAGGAGACACTAAGTAAGAATTTGTTGAAATGACTGTAGAGACGAATTCTTTCTCCTCCTTTTTCCCTTCTGTTTCTAATGTACATGTAAACATTAAAAAGAAACATTTATTGAGTACCGCAACAGGCATGTTGCCATGCACTCGATGTGCATTATTACTTTTATTTCTCAAATAACCCCAAGAATTAGATACAGTTATTATCTCCATTGCAGAGGTGAGGAAGCTGAAGCTCAGAAAAGTCATATGACTTGCCAAAAGTTGATAAGAGGTGAAGCACCTGATGTTTTGACCCAGGTCAGATTCCTAACTATTCTACTAGTCTGCCTCTCAGACAGACACATTGCACTGTTTGATTTTTAATGAATAACAGTAGCAAACACTTACGTAGCACTTACTGTTTGCCAGCTATTGTTCTAAGCACATTGCATAGATCAATCAATTTAATACTCATATCTTCTCTTATCAACCTTCTCATGGAGGTTCTAGTATTTTACTCATTATGCTGATAAGACAATGGATGCCTAGAGAGTATAAGCAAGATGTGTCAAACCACACAGCCAATAAGGGTGAAACTAGGGTAAAAACCCAGGCCCTCTGGCCCTAAAGTCAATGCTTTCAACCACTTTGGAATAATAATACTCTCTCAATAAGGTAGTCAAGTTTTCTAGCAATATAATCATAATATTTACCCCATAATACTTAGAATTCCCTTAGCATACATAGTCTATACCTCTCATTTGGTACTTACCCCAAAGTGTATTAATGTTTTTTGTGCAGCGTTCAATTTCTCTAACTAGATTTTAAGTTTTAGAGGAAAGATGGCTGCCAATTCTAAATCCCGAATCCTTAGCTTAAGAGTGGAAGCACTTGTCCAGAGATGTTATGGTATACTTATAGTATAAACTAACTTATAAAAATGACTTGCATATGTTCATTCAGGGTGGATGAATATTTCTATTTTAATACCAAGAATATAGAAGGTAAAAACTAAGATGTTGTTAAGTATAGTTAAGAATCTAAAACTATTTTAGACATATCAGGGCTGTTACTTCTTAGATAATTCTGATCAAATGAAAATTTGGTATTCATCAACATGAAATTCTAGTGTTACAAATGAAATTGTTATTTCATTCTGACATATGTCTTATTCTGTTAATTAACCATTGGAAATGTGTGTCAAGCCCTTAAAAATATAAAAAGGGAATGCTAGGAAGTAAAAAAAATAGTGTTTTAGTATTTATATTTGCACTTCTTGAAAAGTAGCAAATATATTGCCTGATGTTTAAAAGCATAGGAAATCCTTTCAAACACATGTTGAAATATATTTGATATTAGGCTCTCCATTGTCAGACTAGAATGTCAGACTATTTATGGCTCATGGGAAATACTGACAAAGTCTTTGTGTTTTGCCTGAAACCCTCTATTTGTCTTTATTTATACAAAGCATCTTTTACCACAATGTTTTGCAAAACTTGTCTTCCCAAACGTTAAGCCAATGATAATGCATGGAATGTCAGTACGAATGTCAATTTACGTTGGTTTCTATTTGAATTGATGCCAAGAAACCCTTTCAAAAAAAAAAAATCATTGAGTTTTTAAAGCTTCATTGGATGTTGCTAGTTTGACAACCAGCAAGGGTTGATTTATAGAGTCTGGGTCAGCTTTGTTAGTTGCCTGATAAAGAGATTTCAGGAGTATCCAAATATAACAAATTGTATATTATGAGACGTATTACATTAACTTGGTTGTTCTCAATTAGGAGTGATTTTGTTGCCAAGGGGACATGTAGTAATGTCTGGAGACTTTTTTGGTTGTCAGGACTGGGGGATGCTACTGGCATCTAATGGGTAAGAGGGTCAGAGATGCTGCTAAACATCCTACAATGTATAGGACAGCCCACACAATCAAGACTTATCTGGTTCAAAATGTAATAGTGCCATGGTTGTGATAGTCTGCTTAGTTTAAGGCCTCTGTCTTTCTATTAAAAGGCCAGTGCCCTTCAAAGGATATGAATAGACATTTTTCAAAAGAAGACATGCAAATGGCCAACAGGTATAAGAAACAGTGCCCAACATCACTAATCATCAGATAAATGCAAATCAAATCCACAATGAGGTATCATCTTACCCTAGTTAGGATGGTTATTATTAAAAAGGCAAGATGTAACATGTTCATGAGGATGTGGAAAAAAGGGAACGCTTACACATTGTTGGTGGGAATGTAAATTAGTACAGCCTCCATGGAGAACAGTAGGGAGATTTCTCAAAGATCTAAAAATAGAACTACCATTTGATCCAGCAATCCCACTGCTGAGTATCTACTCAAAGGAAAATAAATCAATATATCAAAAGATACCTCCACTAATATGTTTATCTCAGCACTATTCACAATAGCCTAGGTATGGAATTAACCTAAATGTCCATCAATGGATAAAATGGATTAAAAAATATGGCATGTATAGATACACAATGGAATACTACTCAGCCATAAAAAAGAATAAAATAATATCTTCTGCAGCAACATAGATGGAACTTGAGGTCATTATCTTAAGTGAAACAAGCCAGGCACAGAAAGACAAATATCATATATTCTCACTTATAAGTGGCTGCTAAAAAATGTGCTTACATGAACATAAGAGTAGAACAATAGATAATGGGGACTGGGAAGGGTGAGGAAGTTGCGGGGGGACAGTGGTGGTGAGGATGATAAGAAATTGGTTAATGGGTACTATGTATGTTACTTTGGTGGTGGATACCCTAAAATTCCTGCCTTGACTATGATATAATCTATACATGTAACAAAATTGTACATGTACTCCATAAATTTGCACAAATAAAATTAAAAAAGCTCAGTACCCTTGAAACAGGGAATACTAATGGTTTGAGTCATATCAGTCATTTACATTTTAGTGTGAATTTACCCTTACTTTTGGCCAGAGTTTTTGATGGGGTGGGGGTGGGGCTTCAAGAGAGGGAGGAGATTTCTGGAGACACCGCATTGAGAAATGGCACCATGTAGGAAAAGATAGAATGCAGAAATCATAGGCTGAAGGCTAAAGAGGGCAGTGCATTTTTTTTTCTTTACATACAGCTTCAATTATAGCCTAGGAAATAAGGAATGAAACAAGTACACATACGAGAACATTACATAAGTAGGCAATTGGATAATAGACCCTAGTAACCTGAAAGCAGTATAAAAATGAGGCAATTGTTACAGCCCTTAGCAATCTAAAGTTTTCTCTTATTTCTATCCTATGTGATTTCTGCTTTCCAAGCTGAAAACATGCTATGAACTTGGCTGGCTCCGCTTTGGCTTACATTTCTTACTCCTGCTTGAAATGCATTTAACTTTCCTCTCTGCTTTTTTATATCAGGGATGCCAAAGAATTTTACCTTGAAGGCCAACTCTACCCAATTGGAGTGGACTATGTTGAGAAGGATTCTGATGCTCTGTCTGGGTTAAATTGGAAAGACTCTGCCATGCTTACCTATGTCTTGTATGGTCTGGGAAGGAGTTGTGGGCTCAATCGTGGCCAAGCATCTGCCATCCCAGACTTAATGTTTCCAGGCTCAGTTAGTACAATTTCATCAAGTCTTCCCTAACTAAATTAGCTCCTCTCTGAGTTTCCATAGCAAACATAGTCTATATCTCTCATTTAGCACTTAATCCAAAGTGTGATAATGCTTGTCTTGAAGTAGTGTCCGATTTCTCTAACTAGATTTTAAGTTTCTGGAGGAATGATGGCTCCCAATTTAAAATTCCAAACACTTAGCTTAAGAATCGATGCCTGTCATGAATGGATAAATAAAATGTAGCATACATATACAATGGGTTACTATTCAGCCCTAAAAAAGAAGGAAATTCATTTGTAACAACATGATTGAAACTGGAGGACACTATATTAAGTGAAATAAGCTAGGCACAGAAAGACAAATACTGCATGATGTCACTTACATGTGGAATGTAGAAAAGTGGAAGTCACAGAGGCAGAGAGTAAAATAGTGTTTGCCAGGAGCTGAGTGGGGGGGATTGGGGAAATGTTGGTCAAAGGATAAAAAGTTTCAGTTAGATAGAACAAATAAGTTCAGGCGATCTATTGTGTAACATGGTGACTCTAGTTTATAACAATGTAGTATATATACTTGAACATTACTAAGAGAGTAGATTTGATGTTTTCTCACCACAAAAAATAACTAGTATGTGAGGTAATGCATATGTTAATTAGCTTGATTTAGCAATTTCACAATGTATACATATTTCAAAACATGTTGTACACCATAAATGTATTCATTTTTATTTTTCAGTAAAAAAAAGAAGAGTTGACTCCTACCTCTACAGATTATTAATTGCATCTCTAACATGGTCGCCTTTATTTGCCTTTCACATCCTCTGCCAATGACTGGCCTCAGATCACCAGTGGAACCTTTTCAAAAAATACACCGTTGGCTCTATCTAGTCCTACTGATCTAAAATATCCATGTGTGGGCCAGGAGCAGTGGCTCATGCCTATAATCCCAGCATCTTGGGAGGACGAGGAAGGAGGATCACTTGAGCCCAGGAGTTTGAGACCAGCCTGGGCAACGTAACGAGACCCTATCTCTATAAAAAATACAAAAAAAAAAAAAAAAATAGCCGGGCATGGTGACCCACAACTGTAGTCCTAACTACTTGGGAGGCTGAGGTGGGAGGATTACTTGAGCCGGGAAGGTTGAGGATTCACTGAGCTAAGATCTTACCACTGCCCTTCAGCCTGGGCAAGAGAGGGACATCTCTGGTTTAGAACTGCTTGGTGACAATTTTTTTTTTCAAGTTCCTATTTCCTTCTCCTATGTGATTACAAATGCTGTTTTATCCTCCTACTGAAATGCTTTCCACATTTTGCTGTTATCTTTAAAACTCCTGTTGTCTTTTCCAGGTCAAGCTCAGAGGCCATCTTTGTTGTGAGCCTTTCATGGTCTGTTCAGATTGAAACTCTTCTGGTTTATTTCTTGTGAGCTTTTCTAGCCTTTCAATGATAATTATCATATGACCCCTGTGTGGTGGTAATTTATGTATACATCCCACTCTTTGGGCCGTAATCACTTTGAATTCAGAAATCACATCTCGTACAGAAAAAGTGATCAATAAAATTTGGTTGAATGAATTTAGTATTGGTACAGCCCTTTTTTGTTTATTTTCTTTACTGTTGTGCCAAATAGAAAAGTTAGTATCATAAAAGTGGTCATTGATGAGATATTTTTAAGTCTTTTATTTTGTTAAAGACAGTTGAAAACTTCACATTACCTCATTTCTGATTCTGATGACCTTGTCAAATTATATCACTATGTAATTATTTTCTTATTTTGTGTCTTCCATGATACTTTATGCTAGGTACTGTTCTAGGCACAGAAGATGAAAGCATAAAACAGGATTCTTTAAGGAACGCATAGACTAACAGAGAAGACAGTAGTGTGACTGAGGTGCTTTGTCAGCTTATGCATGAGATATAGTGGAGACACAAGATGGAGAGTACACGGGAAAGAGGTTTAAGAAATCTTTATGGAAGATGTGACACTGTGTTTCAGTTCATTTCAATGTTATATACGGTCCTGCCTCTAGATTACTTATAGTACCTGACATAATGCCACATATCACTTCATTCATATGGATTCAGTGTGATACTTCATGCATGACAAGTTTGCTTTGCTTTATGAAGCTTTGTGAAACTTCTTTTTTCATTTAAATTTTTATTTTATATTCAAGTGTTACACGTGCAGGTTTATTACAACAATATATTGTGTGATGCTGACTTGTGAGTTTCTATTGATTCTGTCACCCAGCTAGTGAACATGGTACCCAATAGGAAGTTTTTCACCCTTTCCCCCGCTCCCTCACTCTCTCATTTGGTGATCCCTAGTGTCTATTGTTTCCAACTTTATGTGCATGTGTACCCATGGTTTAGCTCCCACTTATAAGTAAGAGCATGCAATATTTGGTTTTCTGTTTCTTCATTAATTTGCTTGGGATAATGGCCTCCAGCTGCATCCATGTTGCTGCAAAGAACATGATTTCATTCTTTTTTATGGCTGTCTGGTATTCTATGGTGTATATGTACCACATTTTCTTTCTCCAATACACCATTTATGGGCACCTAGGTTGTTGCCATATCTTTGCTATTGTGAATAGTGCTATGATGAAGATACGGGTTTATGTGTCTTTTTGGTGGAACAATTTATTTTGCTTTGAGTATACAGCCAGTAATGGGATTGCTGGATGGAATGGTAGTTCTATTTCTCATGTGAAATTATTTTTTCCTGAGCATTTTCTAGATGTAGAAGGTTGGATCTCTAGATGCAGAACCCAGGGATATGGAGGGCTCATCTGTACATATACTGAAATGCATATTATGGGTCAAGGACTGTCCAAAGCTCTGAGAAGACAGAGATGGATAAACAAGCTATGAGTAGCAGAGTACAGAGTAAAAAGTATAAAATTGTAGATAAAGCCAGGAGTGGTGCCTCATGCCTGTAATCCTAGCACATTGGGAGGTGAAGGAGGGAGGGTCACTTGAGACCAGTGGTTCTAGACCAGCTGGGCAACATAGCAAGACTATGTCTGTATGAAAATAAAAAATAAAATTAGCTGAGCATGGTGTTGCATGCCTGTTGTCCTAGCTACATGGGAGGCTGAGGCAGGAGGATCTCATGAGCTCAGGAGTTTGAGGCTCCAGTGAGCTACAATTGCATCACTATAGTCCAGCCTGGGCCACAAAGCAATACCCTGTCTCTAAAAAAAAATTAATAACATAAAATAAAACTGGGAATGGTCTAAGGGCAGGGAATGCTGAGGGACAGGGAAATGCTTTGCAAGAAGAAAGAGTGGTGCTGAGCAAAGGGTTAATGGTATAAAACAGAATCAGGCATCTGCATCTTTAGGCACAAATGGCACATAGGATTCTCACAACTAAAACACAGGATGTTAGCTTGTCTGATGATAGAAGAGGCTGTAAAAGCAGCCAGAGTCTGAGTGAAAAAAGGCTTTATATAACCTATAGTATTGTTAGAACTTGGTCTCACGGCAGTAAGAAGACAGGGAAGAGCTTTGATGGTGAAAATGTGATTGGGTATGTGTTTTAGAAAAGTTACTCTGGTAGGTATGAATACTCCGGTTTACTAGTTATGACAATAAAATATGAGAGAGCCAGATGTTCTAGATGTACCTTTTCAAAAAAAGCAAGAACATTCTCCAGAAAACATCTTTCTTTTTTCTTAAAAAAAGAAAACAAAAAAACGGGATACATGTGCAGAACGTGCAGGTTTGTTACACAGGTATATGTATGCTATGGTGGTTTGCTGCACCTATTGACCCATCCTCTAGGTTCCCTCCCCTCACCCCCTACCCCCCAACAGGCCCTGGTGTGTGTCATTCCCTTGTCTGTGTCCATGTGTTCTTATTGTTCAACTCCCAATTATGAGTGAGAACATGTGGTGTTTGGTTTTCTGTTCCTGTGTTAGTTTGCTGAGGATGATGGCTTCCAGCTTCATCCATGCCCTGCAAAATAAATGTTCTCTTTTTTATGGCTGCATAGTATTCCATGGTATATATGGGCCACATTTTCTTTATCCAGTCTATCACTGATGGGCATTTGGGTTGGTTTCAAGTCTTTGCTATTGTAAATAGTGCTGCAATAAACATATGTGTGCATGTGTCTTTACAGTAGAATGATTTATATTACTTTGGGTATGTACCCGGTAATGGGATTGCTGGGTCAAATGGTATCTCTGGTTCTAGATCCTTGAGGAATCACCATACTGTTTTCCACAATGGTCGAACTAATTTACAGTCCCACCAACAATGTAAAAGTGTTCCGATTTCTCTACAGCCTTGCCAGCATCTATTGTTTCCTGACTTTTTAATAATCACCATTCTGACTGGCATGAGATGGTATCTCATTGTGGTTTTGATTTGCATTTCTCTGATGGTCAGTGATGTTGAGCTTTTTTTTTTTTTTTTTTTTTGAGACAGAGTCTCGCTCTTTCACGCCCAGGCTGGAGTGCAGTGGCGCTACCTAGGCTCACTGCAAGCTCCGCCTCCTGGGTTCACACCATTCTCCTGCCTCAGCCTCCCCAGTAGCTGGGACTACAGGCGCCCGGATGTTGAGCTTTTTTTCACATGTTTGTTGGCATGGAAACGTCTTCTTTTGAGAAGTGTCTGTTCATATCCTTTGCCCACTTTTTGATGAGGTTGTTTTTTTCTTGTAAATTTGTTTAAATTCCTTGTAAATTCTGGGTATTAGACCTTTGTCAGATGGGTAGATTGCAAAAATTTTCTCCCATTCTGTAGGTTTCCTGTTCATTCTGATGGTAGTTTCTTTTGCTGTGCAGAAACCCTTTAGTTTAATTAGATCCCAGTTGTAAATTTTGGCTTTTGTTGCAATTGCTTTTGCTGTTTTTTTTTCATAAAGTCTGGCTAGCCATATGCAGAAAACTGAAATTGGACCCCTTCCTTACACCTTATACAAAAATTAACTCAGGATGGATTAAAGACTTAAATGTAAACCCCAAACCATAAAAATCCTAGAAGAAAACCTAGGCAATACCATTCAGGATATAGGCATGGGCAGAAAATATTAGTAATTATGCATAAAGAAAATAAACAAGAATTGCATAGAACCATAGAAAGGGCTAAAAACTGTGTAAGTAAATTTTTTTTGTCCAATAGTAAAGTGTATAAATGTATTTTAATAAAAAATACTTCATGCATTTCTACATATAAGTATACATAATACATATATATGTATATACATATGGGAATGTATTTTTATACATATGCAGGTTTGTGTGTGTATAATTTAATCAGGCATTCTCATATTAAGGAAAAGTGATTAGGAAGCATATATTAAGTGTTATGCCACAGGCTCTGAATGCAATCATTGGAAAATTCTCTTTGAATAACTTCTCATTCTCTGGATAATAATATAACTGCCACAATATAGAATTATATATATGTGTATATATATGGATTAATAAACTGTCAACACCAATATAACCACTAAACTTGGTGAATGCATTTTAAAGGAAAGAAATGCCTTGAAACCTTGGGCTCTGTGAAAGCGCAGACCTATATCTGTCTCTCAAATATATACATAAACATGTACATACCATATTGTATATGGTATATATAACATAATAGAGATTATGTGTGTGTCCACACTTGTGCACATGTGACTAGGTGGCTGTGGGTGTGTTTCCACATTAAATGGAATGTGTAAGCACAGAATTCACACCTCCATGCTACTCTTCCCCTCATCTCAATAAACTACCAAGTTGTTAAAGACAAATTATAATTTTCTTGTTTCTTTTATCTTATTCACTTCTAAAACTCTAGCAACTCTTTCAACTTTATAGCTAGACTATATCCTGAACCCTTACCCTTTTTTCCACCATCATCACTTCTACCCCAGTTTAAACCAGGATGAGTTTAGTAGTTCCTGGATTATTGCAGTGGTCTCCTAACCGATCTTTCATACCCAGTCTTAACCACATCCCCTTTCAGAAAATTAATCCTCCACAACGTGAAAAGAATGGCGTTTTTTAGAAAAGAAAAAAGTTGTACAAAACTACAACCCTGCTTGAACACTTCTAAGACTTTCAGTTACACTTAGTTGCAATAACATTGAAACCATTTTTTGGCTCCTGCTCTCCTGGCTAACCTTGCCTGGCACCATCCCATCTAGCTTTCTTCCCACTTTATGATTGTTCCTCCTCTGTCTTCACGTCTGGTCTCTCTGCTCCTGCCACACTATCTATTCCCAGAGGATGTTAAACTCATGAAGTTCTGGAGCCTTTGCCCCAACTTCCTTCTGCATGAAATGTTTATTATCAGATATTTTATGGCAGCTTGCTTCTTATAATAAATGTCACCATCTCAAACACAGGTCTTTCCTATCTACCTAGTATAAAATGGACATCCCTCAATAAAATATTTCCATTCTCCTTATAGCAATTGTCTGATATTTCTTATCTAATTATTTCTATTTTTTCTGCTTTTCTTCACTGGGAGAAAACACTAGTAGAGGAAGAATTTTTATCCATCTTGTTTAACACAATAGCCTGACATCCAAAACACGGTCTGGCACACAGTAGTTGCTTACTAAATGTAGTTGATTACATATTTTTGAATGGCCATTGGATATAGATGGTATTTCACAGTGAAAACACAAATGACCCTCTTTGGGGAATACCCATGAAGTGATCTGTTGGCCCTTTCCTAATTAAGCTTCCAGACTTTTAGCGTCACAGAAAGCAGGAGAAAACCATTAGAGCAGTGTCAGTAATGGTCTCTTTGCCCTTGGGTCAGGATGTTACAGAGAATGGGCTTAACCTAAAGACTTCCCACCTACGCTCCTGCTAATGGAAGATGTAATGTTTGATGTAAGAATTAAGCTGGGCATAATCACCAATTTTTGCCAGCCATAAGGCTTTTCAAAAATATTAGAGAATTGGGAGATGGATGACAAGAGAAGTGAGAAGTATTTATTTTATTACTTATGAAGCACTTGAGCTATTACTAAGCTCCATATACTCTACATTATGCTCAAAAAATACAGCAATCTGCTCTTCCCACCCTTTAGATGAAAGGTGGGCCAAAATTGGCATCAAAACATGCAGCATCTTGAACTATGCTTCTTTTTAAGTTAATCAAAGTGTGTGGAAATGATCAAAGGGATAATACAAATAGAAAGTAATCATGACGTTGGTGATTGGAAGGTGTAACAAAGAGTTTGCCAATAGCTAACAAAGGGAACAGTAGCTAAAATGGTGTGCTTGTTTTCTTAAACAAGGAAACACATACAGACAAGAGGCTTTACTTAATGTTATTTGAGTTTCTCCTATTTTTGCAGCAGTCATAAAATCTTAGGGCAGGCCATGTGTATTTAGTGCTGGTCTTGAGAGCTGCAAGTCATCCTCATTCTAATTGTTTCACTCACAGTCAGGTCAGCAGATTTACTCCACTGACCTAACTGTGATCTTCTCTAAGGTCAGAACATATTGTCTATTCAGGCATTTCTCCAAAGAAGATATACAAATGGCCAAGAGGTATATGAAAAGGTGCTCAACATCACTTCAGAGAAATGTGAATTAAAACTACATTGGCTAGGATGGCTACTATAAAAAACAAACTAGCAAAGAAACAAATCAAACCAAAGATAAATGTTAGCAAGGATGTAGAGAAACTGGCACCCTTAAACACTGTTGGTGGGAATGTAGAATGGTGTAGCCTCCACAGAAAAGTTTGATGTTTCTCTCCAAATTAAAAAATACCATATGATTCAGCAATCCCACTTGTGGGTATAGATACAAAATAATTGAAATCAGGATCTCAAAAAGGTGTTTCTATCCCTTGTTAATTGCAGCATTGTTCACAGTAGCCAAGATATGGGAACAACACAACTGTCCATCAACAGATGAATAAAAATGTGGTATGTACATACAATGGAATATTATTTAGTCTTTGAAAAGAAAAAAAGTCTTGCTATTTGCAATAATATGGTTATGACTAGAGGACATTAATGGTAAGTGAAAAAAGACAGTCACAGAAGGACAAAAACAGAAACATTCTACTTACATGAGGTACCTAAAATAGTCAAACTTATAGATACAGAGAATAGAATGATAATCACCAGGGGATGAGGGCAAGGGATATGGGGAATTGTTCCTCAATGGTAGTAAAGTTTCTCTTCTCTAATAAGTCCTAGAGATCTGCTGTACACATAATACCTACAGTTAATAATATGGCATTGTGCACTTTAAAATATGCTAAGAGGATAGATGTCATGTTAAGTGATTTTGCAAAAACAACTAAAAATCAGACAAACTCACAAAAGAACACAAAATTTTTGGAGGTGACGGATATGCTTAGTACCATCTTTGTAGTGATGATTTCATGGGTGCGTATGCATATGTCCAAACTCATCAAGATGAATAAATTAAATGTGTGCAATTTTTTTGTATGTCAGTTGTACCTCAATAAAGCTTAAAAAACAGGAAACAAACAAGGTTGGGCACGGAGGCTCATGCCTGTAATCCCAGCACTTTGGGAGCCGAGGCACGTGGATCACTTGAGGTCAGGAGTTCAAGACCAGCCTGGCCAACATGGTGAAGCCCCATTTCTACCAAAAAATACAAAAAAATTAGCTGAGTGTGATGGCACATGTCTGTAGTTCCAGCTACTTGGGAGGCTGAGGTGGGAGAATCACTTGAACCCAGAAGGCAGAGACTGCAGTGAGCTGAGATCATGCCATTGCACTCCAACCTCAGCGACAGAGTGAAACCCTGTCTCAAACAACAACAACAACAAAAATAGGAAACAAACGAAACAAAAGAATATTGTTTCTAAGCTAATTAGAGCTTAAAAGCTAAATAGATATAACAAATCCACTTAGCATCAGAATTGCTCCAAAAAAGGAAAAGGGGAATGGTTTCATGCCAGTTCTGAGTTGAATATTTGGTTTCCCAATAAGGCTGGATAAGCAAACTTTATTTAAGAGGCATACACTGTAAAAATTTCAGCATAAGGAAAATGAATGGTCTCAATATAGGAGGTTTTGGAGTTTCCATGGGTTTAGATACTAGAAAACCTGCTGCCTCCACAGTTTCCACACCTTTTCCTCAGCAAAATGTTACACAATTGTGTTGAAGACACTTGTGGCCTCTAATGGCCAGATAATGGACCACAATAAAAGTTATGGGTCCCCAGCTGGGGTGAAGCTCATAATGGTTGGCAAGATCCATTATTTGACCATTAGGATCTACAGAAAAGGGAGACAATTGTCAACCAAAAAGAAAAAAAATATGTCATTACATGTATTCCTTTTATTTGAGAAAAAAAATTCCAGTTCCCCATAGAGTGCGTGGCAATTTTCCTGCGTATACAAGTTTCTCTATACCCATCCTGCATGTATTTTTAGAAAGGTTTCAATGTATAAATGCATTATGTCAACACAAGTTGATGGATAGTGATTGCGGCTTCACACTGGATTTCAAAGTAATTAATTACAATTTTCAATGTTTTAAAAGAAATAGAGAACAACAATAAGAGAAAATATAAAGAATAGATTGGGTTCAGGTTAAATCCCTCTGTCCTCAATTCAAGTATGTTCCACAACACAACATTTGAACACCATCATATATTCTGGATATCTGTCCCCAGCTTTGGAAAGAGCCAAGACCTTTTCAATGACAATAGTGGTGAGTTATTATTCCAGTGTCTTAGTAATATTTCTTTAGAAATCAATAAATACATCTTTAGCCATTTCATTTTGCCTTTGGGAAGTATTGATATTTTAGTTGTTGTCTTCTAGTGAACATAATGGTACATAATATCAATATATATATATATTTTAAATATAATGCCTGCAATTCTTTTCTTTTGTCCCTTTCGCCTTTGGATGAGACTAAAGTCAAGGTAGAGTAATTCATGGTCTATTGTGTGTGCTTGGGATCGGGGAGGACGGCCACACTTTGTGAGCCTTAGGATCTATTAAAATCCTAAATTTTTATTTTTAGGAGTGATTGAGACGATCTATCTGAGACCTTTTCTTATTAAAGGAGAGTCTAGTCCTGATCCTAAGGTAGCTCCCCATTTTGAGGACTTGCATATTCAGCCTTGGTTACCTGATTAGAGAAGTACATGTTAATGTAGTTTGTTTAGAAATGTTAACATTCTATTTAAAAATGATATTCTGTAGCATAAGTAAATATTTCTAATACTTTTTATAGTTAAATGTATATGAATCTTTCCCTTTATGTCACATAAGAGATGAGTTTCTTTCTTTTTTTTTTTTTTAAGAGGCAGGGTCTTGCTTTGTCACCTAGGCTGGAGTAAAGTGGCATGATCATAGCTCACTGTAGCCTGGAACTCCTGGGCTCAAATATCCTCCTGCCTCAGTCTCTGGCATAGCTATGACCACAGGCATGTGCCACCGCTCCCTACTAACTAACTAAAAGAAAAAAATGTAGAGATATTGCCATGTTACCCATGCTTGCCTTGAACTCCTGGCCTTAAGCACCTCAGCCTCCCAAAGTGCTGGAATTACAAGTGTGAACAACTGCAACCAGCCAAGCTTCAGTTTTTAAAGAACCTGAATATTGGTTTGAAGACATCCAATGCGCTTAAAATTGCTATCATTATTTTTGAAAATCTTGATAAATGTTCTGTTTTAAATTTTTTAAAATTTTTATTTTGTATGGGTACATAATAGATGCATACATTTATGGGATATATGAGATATTTTGATACAGGCATACAATGTTTAATAGACACTTTAGGGTAAATGGGGCATCTGTCACCCCAAGAATTTATCATTTCTTATTTTATTGTTGAGTTCTTCATATTTTGTGTGGTAAATAAAATTTGCTCTAATATATTTACTTACTGATTTTCAAAAATATAGTGCATTTATTTTTTGAATGGAGTTATAACACTTTTGTTTTATAGTTTATTTTTTGCATTACATTTTTAATGGATTTTCATCATTTTATGTTCACAAAGTTTAGTTCTGGCTCCATGATACCACTGTAGTCTTTCGGGGTTAGATAGTAAGAGGCTTATTGTTTTGGACATATAATAAGAAGGTTGACCACCTGTTAGATAATTTGAATTGCAGAAAAAGCATGGAATAGTAAAACAATACTACCAGTTCAATTTTTCTTAAATTTTTCAGGATCCAAGTCTTTTCATAAAGATCAGTTTTTATCACAGATATTGCATAAGGGTTTCAGATAGTACTGATAGACTCTGGTTTCTAGTGTGTTGTAGAGCAGAGTCTTAATTCTTCCAGTAAATCTGAAAAAAGCACCACAGACACCCTTTATAGAGTAGGCCACCATTTTGTATTCATATTTTACCTTGGTATAATAGTTCAGATTTATAAAGACAGAAGAGGATAGTTCTCTAGAGCAATTGGTTTGAGTTATCTTAGCAATGCTGGACCATGTATACTGTGAATTGTGTAATTGTTCATGCTGCACACTTTCTCTTGTAGCCATATTTGTGGCTGGATTTTTAACTAGTGAGTATGATTTCATGTGTCTTTAAATGGTATCTGTAGCGTTTTTTATAAAAAAAATCATTTTCATGATTTCGAGTCCAGGCCTGTAGTTATTACTATTGTATCCTTAGCATATAGAGCACTCATAGACAGAAGGAGACAGAGAGAGAGAGAGAGAAAGAATGACTAGGAGGAAGGAAGATGAAGAGAAGAAGACAGGAAGGAAAGAAGAAAGGGATAAAATAGAGAAAGGAAGGGAGATAGGAGAAGAGGGAGGGAGGAAAGAAGGCAGGAACTCAGAACAAAAGAAAGAGAAATTATTTGTGTGTTTATACTATAAAACTGTGCTATCTATGTTGGTAGCCACTGGCCACACGTGGGGTATTGAACACTTGAAAGATGGTTAGCCCAAATGGAGCTGTGGTGTATGTGTAAATACAATGTATTTTGAAGACTTAGTATGGGAAAATAATGTAAATATCTCATTCATTTTTATATGAATTATATGTTAAAATGATATTATTCTGAATACATTGGGTTATAGATTTTATGAAAGTTAGTTTTATCTGTTTTTTACTTTTTAAAAAGTGACTTAGAATATGTAAAACGATGTGTGACTCAATTTATGACTTGTATTATATGTCTCTTAGCACTATTCTGTAACATCACAATAAGCTGGAGTTGCTTTTTCAATTTTTCAGAACGAATTTTCCTTTGACCTCATATTCTCTCTCTGAGTTAGCTGTAGACAAAGCTTATCTGTAGCAAAACCGAAGTTGGCAGGATCCCCCATCCCCACCCTCCCAATTCTTAGACTTTTTCATTTTGATAATTGTAACTCTTAATATAATCACAAAAACTGCTCTTCCAAATTCTCTGTTGAGAACCAGGCATTATAAGATGTCACCTCCAAAGGATATGGTCACATGGCACTCATGCTTTGGGAGAATATATCTAAGATATCTTAGTGCACATATACACCTCCAGTTTCATATACTTAAAAAAAAACTTGGTGAATTGTCTGTCTCTACCATAAATTAAGAGTAGAATACACAAAACTATCCTCTTTTCTAGAGAACAAACAAGCTGAGGATATTGTCTTCTATCTAATTTTTCTTAGCTTTATAAAAGCTTGGCTAGGATAGTCATGTAGAAAATTCTGGATGGATACATTTTTGAAACTTAGAAGATATTCTGTATGAATGTTTTCTGAATTGGAATTCTGAATTAGAATCTATGGCAATTTTGTTGTAAAATGAATATATTTTCATTGATTTTGAGACATAACTGTCAGTATATTGTTCTGCAGTACTTAAATTATGAGGATAAGCATATTGGACTCAATAATGTGGCCTCCCTCTCCAGCTTCAATTATTTCATTTGCTTGGCCATTTAAATATGAGTGACTATTTATAAGTGGCTATTTCCGTGACTGTTGAAACATGGATCATTGAGAATGTCTCAAAGCAATTTATTTCCATATTTCACCTTGGGGCCCCACCCTTTCTGTCCTGGCTCCTACAAATGACAGTAGAAGTAATTCCCCGTAAGAGAAGGTGAAATTCCAAGGCCCCTTTGTCTTCTCCATAAAGCCCGTTGCCAGTGTCAGTGCATGAAATTATCACTATTAATGCAATTCCTTGGGGGTGAAGGCCTTGTCTGCAGAGGGTCCAGGTAAATTGTTCCTGTTAGAGAATGAAGCCACTGTCAGTGGTCTTGGGGAATATGGAGCATAGTCAGCTGAAGAACAGCACTTAGGTGAGAAGTAAAAGAAAACTCTTCCTTCTAGAATAAATTTCAAGGCACCAGAAAATGTTTTGCTAGTAATATAATATTTAATGTTTTCATGAATAAAATATTGGTTTGTAATACTTTTTTTAAAAAACGTGAACGTGATGACCAGTTTAAAATTCATGCATCTATTTTCCTCTGGAATGATCAGTGACTTCTGATTAGGATGACAAAAATGGGTTATAAGCCATGCACCTTTCTGCAGAATTGCTGTATATTAGAGGCCAAGATACCAGTAAAATTAGATTAAGGTTAAGGGAGGAATGTAAATTTTGTTAATAAGGTTTCCATATTTTAATTCAAATCCAAACACCCTGAGGGCCTATTGATGGTAATCCCATTTAATCTTGCAAAAAGCTTTTCTGGTATCAAGGGATCCAGATCGGTACTGCCTTTATTACCTGGAAAATGAAGAATTTTCTTAAATCTTCACCTCTAGTTAGTGTAAACATAATAATAGAATTTTGATTATTTCTAACAAGCAAATATCATGTGATTATGTATCAACTCAAATGAGTATGTTCTATCAATGAATGTTATATAGAAATGTCAAATGCGTAAATCATAGAATCATCCATTCTACAACTTTGTGTTTAAAATGACTATACTTGCATCTATAACATTTATGCTTAATTTACTAACGTGCCTTTTGAGGTGGTGAAAGCTCAAAATGCTTTGAAAGGACAACTTAAAAAATTAAAACACATCATTGTGGTCCTTTGTAAATGAATGGACCTTTGTTAAATGACTCACTTTGGTCAATAACTTCTCCACCTTAGGGATATTTAGCCATCTGCTTCTCTCTCCTTTCATGTCTGTGTCTCTCTGCTTTCTTTCAACTCCATCTTTCCATTCACATAGTCCCACTTGGACCCTCGTCATGATGTATCTCAAATTTTAACATACGCTTGTTCTCTTTTTCATGCATGCTGAATGGCATCCCTCTTGAGCTAGATGCTAAACCATTCTGTATTCATTTTCCTTGGAAGTTTACATATATATATATATAGAAAAATATATATATTTAAAAATATAAAATATATATGTATATTTCCTAAAGTCCCAAACACTTAAATCTTTTTAAAAAAATATTGCTATAATGGCATGTAAAGAATGAAAATTTTAGAGCCAGATAAATGCATGTATGCTCTAATTTCCTCCTTTCTTATCTAATCAAGACATCAATACCTACAATTGCTGCCCCTCATCATAGTTTCTTCTATCATTCCCATCAGCATAAAACATGTAATACTGACTTCATATCTTGAAAATGCTCTGGATGAGACACATACCTGCCAGGGTCCCTTACTAGATGAAAGCCCCATGATGCCAAGGTATTTATGTGTCTTATTCAGTACTATTTACCCAGCATTTAGAATACTGCTAACAGTGTCTTAGCATCTATTAAATTTTCAACAAATATTTGTCAAATGAATGAATGAATTAATGATATCTGGATCATAGCATAAGCTTAGTCAGAATCAGCTATTATGAAACTGACAATTTTTGAACATGATATTTGTTAAAAGTGACAAAATGATTCCAAACAACTGTACACAAAGGCTGTCTAAAAACATTATATGTATCATTGAAGTCTGGGAAACTGGTATGTACACATTTCAGTGGTTATCTGGTTTTATGTGTTTGGCATTTCTTTAAAATTCGACAGCAAAAAGTCTGCCATAGATTCTTAGGACTTTCTGTTTTACTTACCTCCCTATTATTGTTTAAATATGGTAATGTTTAAATAAACTATAATTTCTAGCTATTTCTCTATAATTATAGGATATAAAAACAATAAGCACAAACTTTTATAAAGTTTTTCATCTAGCTAGAATATGTTAAAGTTTTAAAGAGCAGAATTGGCTCATTTCAATGATCATTTTGACTTAGGAAACAAATAGCAAATGCGGCCATTGATTGACGGAAAATATAGGACACATGAACAATTCTAGCTCAATATATTCCAATGGTAACTTAACTTTAAAGCTTTCAAGCATTGGATAGAGCTGAAGTTCATTATCCTAAGCAAATTAATGCAGGAACAGAAAACCAAATACCACATGTTCTCATTTATAAGTGGAAGCTAAACACTGGGTACTCATGGACATAAGGATGGCAACAGTAGATGCTGGGGAGTATTAGGTGGGTGCAGGGAGAAAGGTTGAATAATTATTGGGTACTATGCTCAGTATCTGGATGACAGGATAAATTGTACCCCAAACCTCAACAGCACACAATATGCACCCAAATTTCATCATGAATTATAGCTCCCATAATTCCCACGTGTTGTGGGAGGGACCTGGTGGGAGATAATTGAATCATGGGGTGGTTTCCCCCATACTGTCCTCATGGTAGTGAATAAGTCTCACGAGATCTGATGGTTCTATATTTCCCCTTTCCCTTGGTTCTCATTCTGTCTTGCCTGTCGCTGTATAAGACATGCCTTTGCTTCTCCTTTGCCTCCCACCATGATTGTGAGGCCTCCCCAGCCATGAGGAACTGTGAGTCCATTAAATCTCTTTTTCTTGATAAATTACCCAGTCTCAGGTATGTCTTTATTAGCAGTGTAAAGTAACTATTACACAAACCTATATGTGTACCTCTTGAATCTAAAATGAAAGTTGAAGTTATAAAAAATAAATAAAATTAAATTAATGTGTTATATACAGAAAAGAACTTTCTCTAAAAGAGAAATAAAAGCTAACAATGTAGAAAATTTTGATTTTGTCCTTCCAATGCAATCACTGTGTGCTTGGTAATCTATGACAGATAATGTCATTGTAAACTAGATTTTAGTAAAACAACACAGTACAATTAACAACACTCCTGATTTTAGTGCATGCATCCTATCAAAACAAGTCCAATAAAACTAGAACAAAATCATCTTAAAATACAATTTGAGCATGCTATTTCACTGTCCACAAAACTTTGATGTCTCTTCCTCATCTAGAGGATAAACAGCAAACAACTCCATACCCAGGAAATCATGTTCTTCTGCACTCTGACCCCAACCGGTCTTCATAGCTTTATTTTTGTCTAATCCCATATGCACACCCGGTGTGACAGCAGAGTGATTTACAGTGTGAACTCAAGTCAGGCAGAGCCAATTGAGAAACCACTAATTCCTAGAGTTGTGTGACTTTGGAGAGGTTTCTATTCAGCTTCCTGAGCCTCAGTTCTCCTATCTTGGGTTAATCGTACCTATCTCACTGGATGGCTGTGAGGATTGTGGTTATGTCAAAACTCCACATCATCCCTGGCAGTCGGGAGTTTCCAATAATTTAAGGCACTATTATCATTCCTTAAGTGTGTCTTTTTTTTTTTTTTTTTTTTTTTTTGAGACAGGGTCTTGCTGTATCACCCAGGCTGGAGTACAGTGGTGTGATCTCAGCTCACAGCAACCTCTGCCTCCCGGATTCATGATCTTCCCACTTCAGTCTCCTGAGTAGCTGGACCTACAGGAATGCACCACCATGACCGGCTAATTTTTGTATTTTTTGTAGAGACAGGGTTTCACCACGTTGGCCAGGCCGGTCTCGAACTCCTGAGCTCAAGAGATCCTCCAGCCATGGCCTCACAAAGTGCTGGGATTACCAGAGGGAGCCACTGCATCCTGCCAAAGCATGTCCTTTTAAGTTCAGCCTCAGCATCTTTGTGCCCTTCCTTGGAACTCCCTGAAAAGTCCATTTTTCTGTCTACTCATCATTTAAAGCTTCTCCTTCTATGTGAAGCCCTGAAAGCCTGCTTTGCAGGAGTACAATGATTGCTTGCTCTCTGAACTCACAGTTCTTATTTTCTGTATTATTCTTGTAAAAATGTATCGTCTTATATTATCTCTGATGGTCTTCTCTCATAATTTATCTTGGTTAGCTGCTTAAGAAGCTGTGGATAGGAGCTAGAAGGAAATAAACGCATGATCAGACTAAGTGGATCCTACACTGTGTCCTTTGGAGCTTCCTTGGGAGACATCATGGTAGGATAAGGTGAAGTGCAGTGGTTTTTGGAGGATGTCAAGTAAATAAGGCTCTGAGTCTCATCCCCAATACTTATTAAAACAGCAATCTTTCAACTATTTCTTCATCATTACTGTTATTATCAAAACCCATCTTGTAAAATTAAATACTGAGATTCCAGTAAGAATTCACCAACAAAATAATTCCATTATTATATAAAATTTTTACAGTCATTTATCCAGTGCCACCTTCTAACATTTAATGGGGGACAAAGAGAAAACAATCAATGTTGTGTACCTAGGATTGGCATTTGAACAACATTCTCAGAACTCCCGCTCTTTTGGTTTAAAGTTTGCCTGTTTATTCAACTAGATGATCAGAGGCCTTCAGGGCAGAAACCATTTATTAGATTTCCTTGTTTTCCTCCCAGTCTGGCTCAGAGCCTTAAATATAATCCTGAAGCCTATGTATAAGGGGGCAATATGCAAATAGTGCAATTGAGAGCATTGGATTGTTCCAACCATAGCTCATGTAGATTGAAATGACTTCAGCCAGAATAACAAAACACACTATATGTTAGTATAGTATGTTATGCTATATAGTAAGGAGTATTGTAAGGAATATATGTTATGCCATATAGTAAGGAATCCGCTGATAATGGGATTGAGCCTTTCAGGGAGCAGAGCTTAAACTTCAAAATATTAAGTTGCCAAAGGCTTAGGGGCTGTGGGTGGAGCGGCATTTTTCACACTCCCACTGAATCTGGAAAGAGCAGCTGTGGAGCATTGTCACTAGTATTAGACAGCAATGAGGGCATGATTGACTTCCAGCAGTTTTTGAAATCTGTGAAGTGCTAATGGGGACTGAAATAGGCAGAGTTAAGGAACCATATGAAATAACAAAGACTGAATAATCAAAGGGGAACCGTATAGTTTCCATACACAGATGGAAAATTCTTTCTTACTGGTGTTTTACTTCTGCCACAGAAACTGATCGGTCCATTGTAAATAGCATGGATCAGTATTGAAACCAGGGTCCATTTCATTTTGGACCTTTTAGATGTACCTGAAAGGTCCATTCAAGTCAGCCTGGGAAAACCTCATGTAAGGCCATCCCCAGTTTCTGCTTGCTGCCTTCGGAATTCCTCAGATAAAATTCCTGTTTATCTTGTCTCTGACCTTTGTGTTCCATCAAGACAACAGATTCATTATTGTCTTCCACCGCTAAATACCACAACTATAGGCAAGAGAGGTCTGATTCCTGTATCTTGCTCACCTCCAGGAAAGCTATGATGGTGTCTTTCCTTCCCTGGGATGTAACTGACTGAAGAGAATAACCCAATCAGTCTGGGCCATGGGCTAGAGAGTAGATGATGAAAACAGAGCAGCCAGTGACACACGATCTAGGAAAGATACTAAAATGTTGGCCTAGATCAAAAGAAGGACCAAAGAAAGTTTGATATAGGAAAAGAAGCCAGACTTGAGTTTACTCTTCTCTCTACTACTTACTAGCTAAACCCTGAGATCCCAGACAAATTGCTTCGTCATTCTGAGCCTTCATTTTTTTCACTTTTAAGAGTTATTTTCAGGAGTCAATGAAATGACCCAAGGAAGATGCCTAGAATCTGTAAGACACATAATGGGACTCCCACCTTTCCACACACTCTAGTCCCTCCTAATAATTCATGAAGGGCCATCCTCATTCAGCTGGAGCAGAGTCCTCTCCATCCTTTCATTATGTGAAGATTATTTATTGGTCTGTAATTTTAGCCTCTATTTTCTCGGCAGTCAGAAGCAGCATCTTAGCTGGATCATCTCTTGCTCAGAAGGATGCTTAATGTAAATTTCTTATATTTTTTTTTTGTGATACGTAGGCAAGTCTTATATTGCACACCTGTCCTTGATTCAGAGGTCTGTGTTTATTCCCTAGGGCTATAAACATTTTAAATTCCTATATAGAAAGGTGGCTTTACTCTGGTCTCATAGAGAAAGCCTGATTTTTCACTGTTATTTAAAGACAAGTCTCCCTTAACCTGGGCTTGATTGGAGACCCCACATTATTACCAGAATAATTTTTCTCCTGTTTCCTAACCTCCTTATTGTTTCCCTCCTTATTGTTTCTATTAATAAATCTATCTCCAGTCACTTACTTATATGAACACTGTCACGGGAACCCTGGTGTTGCTCCTATTAGCCTACCACCCAAGGCAACTCCTTGTGCAGAAATGATCCACAATGCCTGAGGGGAGGCATCTCGTGGCAAAAGTAGTTGAAGCCCCAGCCCTCCAGTCATGGTGCGCCAAGCAGCTGCCTCCTTACCCTAAGCAATGAATCTATTCATCATTCCAAAGCACTTGATTTAAATGTGAGCCAGACTAAAGAAGTATAGTTTTGTCCACAAAGTTTTTCAATACGTGTGAGGTGAAGGAGCATTTAGCTTAGCAGTAACTCCTTGTGACATGGGAGTGGGCTATCATGCTGCTAGCTTTGCTAGCATTCATTCCTGGGACAGTACTGATATTATAAGACTTTGTGCACTTTTATCCATTTTTCTTGATATCAGTGGAATGGTGACAATTCATTAAGACCCAGAGTTGATCTCTAGGGATCTAGTTAGAAATTAGAATTCCATTATAATTTGTGATTAATAACCAAGAAAGAAACATCACCCAGCAAAAGAAGACAATGTACTGTGTTTCTCCACTTTTTTTTTTTAGTTCCCTGTTTTAGCATGCTTTCACTTCTCTGCAGCCAGTTAGTTTAGCTGGTATGGCTAACGAGGTCAAGGCGGCAGTTCGTTCTGTGTCTGCTGTTCAGCATTGCTGTGTTTCCAGGCCATAGGCTAACTCCTCAACGAGAGCTAGCTCACAAATGTGTGCTCTTGGTCACAAATAGTACTCCTCCAAGAAAGTGTGTCTGGATGTGGATCAAAGCAAAACCATTACCGCTATTTGGAAGAATGATATAGATGCATATGCGTGTCCATGGTAGATTAGTGGTATTCTAGTTATGAATTAAGGATTAAAAATTCTGTTCAAAATTGATGGCCTTTGTTTCAGTTATTTGATCTAAGCATATTACTTAATCTTTCTGGGCCTCAGTTCACCAAAGTCATGGCTTAAGTAATAGTTTTACACCATTTATTTTACAGACATATCAATATAGATGATATAGCTATAGGTTATTAGTTAAGAGAGCAAAATCTGGGGATAGTCTGTCTTGTTCAAATCCCATCTGCATTTCTAACTAGTTGACCAAGGGAAGCATTGCTTAATATCTCTTCCCTGCGGGTTCCTCATTTGCAAATAAGGGTAGTAATGAGGGACCTACCACATAGGGTTGTTTTAAAGATTAAATGAGATGATATATGTCAAGAGTTTATGGCACTGCTTGGTACATTGCAAAAGCTTATTTTGTGTTACCTATTTTAGCTATTATTAAACCATTATTTAAACTAGCTAACAGGCTGGTTTAAAGATCTTGAAGAAATATTAGAGTAGAACATTGGAAAAACCTTTATTTTATTTTATATTTTTAGTTTTGGAAAAACGTTTTCAAACCAATGTTATCAACATCATTTTTAATACAACAAGTAATTGCATTGATAGTCAACCCATATCTTTGGCAATAGTAATAAGAATCTATTTGTCATAATTGCATTTCAGTTTCATTTTAGACTAAAATAAGATAAGTACTATAGATTCTCTTTCAAAGTCCTATGACTCTGCTGGAAGAGAAACCAATCCCAGGTATCTCTTATGGTCTAGTGTTAGATATATGTTTTCTAAATGTAAAATCAATGTTTGAGTTTATTACACTGATCTGAGTCTGCCATGTCCTAAAATTTATTATTCCAAATCAGTGGCATTTATGTCTTTGCTATGGTGGTTGCTATTCAATACAGACATGCATTTCCTAGTTCCAAATGACAAAAACTGGACTCCACTATAGGTTTGTTTGTATTGTCATCCTGACAGTGTTCTTCCTTTGGAAAGGAATAATGAGATAATAGCTAAGTCAGAGTCAATGAAGATTTTATAGCATTGAGATAATCTTTCCTCAACTACATCAGGGTTTCTGCTCATTTTATAAATTTGGCTATATTCACAATATTGTAAAGGCATTGTATCTTTTCCTAGTGCAATAAGAATATGCTTAAATAATTTACATTAATAAATGACCTCATAGTAATTTATCAGTTTTATTAAAGACTATCATCCAAATAAACTGTCTGCTCTTTTAATTCTTATGTTTTTTGAACTTATTTTTCTAATCTTTTTTTATTCAAAATGCTAAGTTTCAGATGTAGAACTGCCTTATATAATGGAAGAGAGGCTATGGTACTAAGTAGCCATTGGCATTTGCATATTATTCAGGGCCTATTCTTAATCTATTGGACAAACATCGTTTATTAACATGCACTAGTGACTGATTTCTGTGAAAGAAATAATATAAGTCTGTATCATTCTTTACCACCCCCACCCCTTCCAATAAGAAAAATTAGGTTCTCATTATTTGAATAATTTAAGCCCATCTCTCCAGTGCTTTTTGTCTAAAATAGTTCTCAGTTGGGGCAACACTGACCCCAAAGGACATTTGTCGATATCTAGAGACGTGATAAGATTGGCATGGAGGTGCCACTGGCATCTAGTGGGTAGAGGGGAACCTGGTAAAAATGCACAGGACAGTCCTTCACAACAAAGAAGTGTCATGATCTGGTCTAAAATGTCAGTAGCTTTCAGGTTGAGAAACCCTGGTATAAAATGTCCCAATGTCTCAGTTATGGAATTAAAACTAGAGTTTAGATTTCAAAACATTCAGATAGGTTTCCAAAATAGTTACTTCCTTTACCCTAAAAAACTGGACATGTCTTGGCAAAAGTATTATTTGACACTGTGATAAAGATTTTTTTTTGAAACAGAATAATCCAAATTAAATAGAAATACATGGTATATATAATCTTTCTTCAAAGTGACTTTTTAATTATGAAAATTAGCTAAAAATTTAAAACTTTACATTTATAAAGTATCTTTTCATTAAAAATAATCTAAAGAATTTTTATTGTAGGACTTTTCTTAAGTCAATAACATCAGACAAATACAGAAAATAAACAGAATTTATTTTCTTTTTCTTTCAAAGTTCAATGCTTCTATCTTTTTAAACAAATGCATGCTGTTTAAAGACTGACAACTGGATCCTTTTATCTGATCTTTGAATATGATCACTTGAAATTTAAGAAAATGCAAGTTATATTGACTCAGAGAAACAGCTTATATCGTAGAAAAACACACATATACACAGACACAAATCAACAAAGAAACACAACATCCTCAAACCAGGCCTTCTAGAAAAAGTGTGTGTGTGTGTGTGTGTGTGTGTGTGTGTGTGTGTGTGTATGTATTACTTTGTAAACCTAACATAAAATACTTTCTTAGGCAATTTTCCATTGAGCATCCAAGTTGTGTCGTATGTTCCATTTCTAACTCTTAAGTCAATTTATGGGAGGGGTGTGTAAAAGCACTTTAGTGAAGAAAACCAGTGATTGCAATGCATCAAAGTTAAGCAGTAGTGGGGTTATCACTCCATGAAAAATCACATAAACATTTCACATATAAAATATTATTCATCGAGGCAAAACCCTCTAAGGGGTTGAGAGATAACAATAGTGTCATAAAATCTTTTTCTTTCTTTTGAAAAAACAAAACAATATATGCCACAACTGAGATAGAAACTGTGGTCATGTAGTAGGTATGACAACGAGGTAAGTCATGAGTATAACTGAGAAGAAAATTAGCAAATCTTAAATACCTGACTCTGCAATATCATTACCCATAAACTTGGCCTTTTTCTACCCTCTTTTCCCCAAAGACTGATGTCCCATATATGAACCGAGGGAAATGTGTGCTTTCTAACAGCTAAATCAACAAGGTCTCACATGAGTAGTGCTGTGCGGTGTGGTTGACTGATTTCATGAAAAACTAATCATGTATTCATTATTGAGATCAAACACTCTCCAAGTAATTATCATCCAAACCCAATCTGATAGGACCTGAAAAATGGCACTGCTGATATAATCAGAGGCTGAACGGAATAGTTCTCTTAGCTTTTGTAAACCTTGGTTTGGAAGGCACGAAACTGAAATTGTATTTTATAATTAAGAAAGGTAAAGTTGGCAGGCTGCAATCAATTATTTCAATCAATCATATCAATTTTAGATTGCCTGGGTAATTACTGGAACACATTTAAAGATTGACTTTTCAAACATGGTCTTTGGAACTTTTTTTCATCTAAAAAAAACACAAAGACATTTTTTAAATTAAAATATGAACCCTGTATGTATCCACTATAAAATGTGTCATATCATTTGCATAGCTTCCTTATTTTTAGCTGTGGTACTATTAGTTTTCATAAAGGGATGTTATTGTATTGAATTACATGTCATGGAAAAATGATTGTTTTCTGAAATCTTATTTTAGCTTTCTGTCTATGATTATAAATTTAAATGAAGACAAATAATGTAGAATATTTAAATGCTTTACAAAATATTTCTGCATTACCACAGGTGCTCCTTATGTCGCAGGTAACATACTTTTCATGTGTTATTTCATTTAATCCTCAAACAGGTTAATGAGAGAGATCAAGTTATAACTCCCATTTACAAAAGAGAGCCACAGGGGAGCTGATGTATTGCTCAAGGTTATATGTAATAAGGGGCAAAGGTGGGACATGGCCCCAGCCCAGTGAGTCTCAGCCTAAAGCAGGCCCCCTTGACCATGATTCTGTAGTGTTTCCTTGCTAGCCATTTGATCTTAGAGTAACAAATATTTGTTTTTTAAAAGAATTTTATATATGCCAGGGATTGAGTTATGCCCTTTATGTATCATCTATTGTTCCTAATTTCATCCTGACAAGGTTTTGAATTAGATGATATGTTGTTCATTTTACAAACAAGGCAGAAAACTTTGAGACATCAAGAAAATCGAAAGTCAGAAAGGGAAAGTATTAATATATGTTGCTGGGAATCAGGCCTGAGTTCAGAATCACAGCTCTAGTGATGGTGGCCTTGGGCAAGTTACTGCACCTCTGTAAAGCTCAGATTTTTAATCTGTGAAATGGTGATAATAATTATTTTCAGTTATGAAAAAGAGCTATTGTAGGTCATGGCTCTACTGCTACACCTACAAAGTGCAGAGAGCTTATTAATTGACTTGTCTGGGGTTCAACAACCTGACACTGACAAACATAAATATTTGTTTTACAAGTTGACTGGACTTCAGATATTAGCCTGAGAGGTCGGCAAAGCTTGGACTTCAGATATTACCCTGAGAGGTTGGCAAAGCTACTGCCACAATCATGCCATTCTTGTGGGTACAAGAAACATCACCAAACCCAGGTAGTGGGAGAGTGCCCTTTCCAATATATCCTGCCACCTCTCTGGAAAAATATGTATAACCGGAAGTTTAGCAAACCACGTTGCATTTTTCTATTCCCATATTACCATTTAAGAGGTGTTTAATCTATTGCATTATTGATTTTTAATCAATTCTAATATGGTAGAATTGCTTTATTATTGCTCCCTCCATTTTTGCTCCTCTTCAGTGTAATTAACACTTCATGAAAAAACATGTTAATGAAATATTGGAAGAATTTTTATGAGATATATTTAATATATTATGTTTAAAATACAGATGTGTTTCATAATATTAGTAATTGATTTTGTAAGTCTAAATATTCACTTTTTGTAATCCCTTTAAGATGCAACCACTGCAATTTTTTATATATTTTCTGACTTTCTGTACATTATTCCAGATTAAATGCAATTATACATTTCCTTAATCTAGAAAGTTTGCTTCATTTTCCATTGTTTTCTTTCATTTATTGTTAACACTAACCAAACTCTATTCTATGTCAACATTGAATTTTGAATTTCTTTATGAAATTCAACAGTATTCATTAAACATTTACTATTTGTCAAGCACATGGAAAGCACCTGATTTTTTTTTTTTTTTTTTTTTTTTTACAGAACTGGAGTATAAAGAATTGGGAGTTCTTTCTAAGAATAAACCTCTTCACCAAAGTGAAACTCTATTCATTTAGATGAGATTTTACAAAATAGTTAGAAACTTGTCTTTTCAGTGGAGACAAATTTATTTCCTTAATGCTTCACTTAATTCAAGTCTACTGGTGAGAGAAAATCACTTATGCACAAACCTTTTAAGAATCACCACTGACAAATGAAAACATATGCATTCACACACAAAGTCTCTTACACAAGTCAAGCCAGGCCTGTGGGGATGAGATCAATTCCACACATTTCACCTTAGGTCTTCTTTTATCTAAACGTTATTTTTGCCTTGTCACAAAATACACCGACAACTAACTGAGAAAGTCCTTTTTCTCACTGCATCATTTGTTAATGGTTCATATCTACATGGATCAAGGAACTCATTGATTTGTCTACCAGTTAGCTGCAAACACTTTTCTTTTTGTAGGCAGGATTTATACACTTGCCTCATGGTTTAGGGCTTGAACTGGTTTTTAGTTCACTAGAAAAGTAATTCCTAAGGCCACATTATATAAGTATGATTAGAAGTAATGTCCCTCAAGGGCAACATTGGTGTTGAATTTTTGGATTAGAAATTTTTTGATAAACATGTTTAAGATGTAGCAATAATGTTAATGTATTAATAGCAAAAAGCACCATTTAGAATATTACCCTTCAAATATTTCTGAGCACAAAATGATGAATATTAACGAGTTAAAATAATTTCAATTGTCATGATAGAACGTATATTTTAAAATGCTGTTTTTTCATTTTTCATATTCGATTTTTAAGCATGTCTTTTAAATTCTAGTTTTTCCCAGATTTCCTTTTTAATGGTTATTTGTGGGTTTCAAAGAATCTGAAAACAGTCCAGACCTTATTAATTGTCTAAGTATTATCATTACTTTTAATAAATGTGACGTCGTGGTTGTTTCTTGACAGAACAGTACATCTAATGAGTAGCAGTAGCTGGTTTTATTTACATGTATTCATGATTCTACCTAACCACTATTTCATTCTCAAGTAATTTACATTGCTATATGACAATAAACAAAGGGCCCAAAAGAAACATTGAATGTGTTTGTAACTCAGAAATTTCAAGAAAACTAAATCTATAGGCCACTTTAAGGATTAATTTTAGAAGGATACATATAGAAGAGTAATTTTACCTAAATTGTCCAAATGTTTGGCCTCTGAAATAATTGAACTATTTACATGTTCCATTATTTTTACATGTTTACATGTATAATGAAACTATATACATGTTTCAATATTTGAAAAAAGGGAATTATATGTTAGATGAGAAAATTTTATATACAGGATGATGGTGGCCGGTTTATTCTGGTGATATTTCAAAGTAAAAGCATTAGATTTTGGCTTTGAAAGTGATTCAGTAGATCACTGTCAGTTCTGTCTAACCTACAAAACAAGAAAAGTCAATGAATTTCTACAGCATTTGTGATGACAATTGCATGAATCCACTCCCCCCGCCTTTTTTTTTTTTTTTTTTTTTTTTTTTTGAGACTTGCTCTTGTTGCCCAGGCTGGAGTGCAATGGTGCAACCTCGGCTCACTGCAGCCTTCACCTCCTGGGTTCAAGAGATTCTCTTGCCTCAGCCTCCTGAGTAGCTGGGATTATAGGCATGCGCCACCACGCCTGGCAAATTTTGTATTTTTAGTAGATATGGGGTTTCTCCATGTTGATCAGGCTGGTCTCGAACTCCTAACCTCAGGTGATCCGCCCACCTCAGCCTCCCAGAGTGCTGGGATTACAGGTGTGAGCCACTATGCCCAGCTGAATCCATCCCTTTTAACTGGGCTTTGGGATGCTGAAAATATTTTGTGCAACCCTTCAGCATAGTATCATTTTTGTCCATTTAATCAAAAAAGTGAAATTCTTCTTGTTTAATGTAACACTCACCAACATGTGAAGATAAAAAGGTTGTTAGAACTCTTATCCCTATTATGAGATTATAGGCTGAAGCATATTCACAAAAAGAAAATGTACAAGTCGTTCCAGAGTATGAGTGTTATGGGGACTACTTCAGTATTTATGCTGGTGTGTGCATGACCTTATAAATGCCTCATCTGTTTAGTTCTTTTGAATTACAGTGCAAGCCTTTCACTTCTTTCAATTCGCCTTCTGTTTTATTTTATTTTTATTTTTTGCTGGAGATCATTTAGCACTGTGGCTCTGGTTATAGTAGAATAGCTGTGTTTTCTCTGTGGTGTTCCCAAGTGTTTCCTTTCATTACAGACATCTGCATAAGTGAAAACACAAGAGATTGCATCTAGGGCTGTGGGGGCCAACTACAAGTAAAACTAAGACAAACAATAAGCAAAGATTTAAAATCCTCATCTGTCAGAAGTAATACAAGTGGTAGATTATCCTCTGGGGTAAGTAAAAAAGCTCTTCAAGAACTATAAATGACAAAAAAATAAAAAAAGCAGGAGAATCCTGTGGATATTGTTAAAATGGTAGAACCCCTAATGCAAATATGAGCAACAAAACATGTTTGTATTACAAAGAAGGAATATATGGAAAATAAGGAAAGGGACAGGGCTGCTGAGACAAAATGGTAAAATTGCAGGAGTCAGCCATGAAAGAGGCTTTAGAAAGCACGAGGGGAATAGGAGGTGCAAAAAAGCAAGAGACAAGGAAAAAACAAGCATCACTGTACTTTTATCTCCTTTGAATTTTAAACTAGGTCATCACCAAAATGACATAAAAAGGTAACGAGAGGTTTCCTCTTGGGGTTTGTAGAAATACTTTTTGTTTTATCATTTAATTAATTAATATTAATTATTATTTTTGCACTCTCTCAGAAATGACTTCTTAGGAAATAAAATATACACTCTTCACCAGAGTACTCTTAGAGACTTTTCCCTCTGTATATTTGACGTCTTGCATTTCCAAGCCATCTTACTTTTTAAACCTCATTTCCAGGAGCCTGAGCTATTGTTAAAGCCACTCTGAAAAGACACACGCAGGAAAACAAAACTATGTCAAATGGGAAAAAAAATTATTAAAAACGGCCGGGCACAGTGGTTCACCCCTGTAATCCCAGCAGTTTGGGAAGCCGAGGCGGGCGAATTACGAGGTCAGCAGATCGAGACCATCCTGGCTAACAGGTGAAACCCCGTCTCTACTAAAAATACAAAAAAATTAGCCGGGCGTGGTGATGGGCGCCTGTAGTCCCAGCTCCTCGGGAGGCTGAGGCAGGAGAATGGCGTGAACCCAAGAGGTGGAGCTTGCGGTGAGCTGAGATCGCGCCACTGCACTCCAGCCTGGGCGACAGAGCGAGACTTCGTCTCAAAAAAAAAAAAAAAGAAAAAAGAAATTAGTAAAAACAACTTTCTTCACTGGGCACGGGCTCCCACCTGTAATCCCAATCCCAGCATTTTGTCAGGCCATATCAGGTGGTTAGCCCGAGGTCATGAGTTTGAGACCAGGCTGGCCAACATGGTGAAGCCCCGTCTCTATTAAAAATACAAAAATAGCCGGTCATGGTGGTGGGTGCCTGTAATCCCAGCTACTCAGGAGGCTGATGCAGGAGAATTGCTTGAACCCAGGAGGCGGAGGTTGCAGTGAGCCGATATTGTGCCACTGCACTCCAGTCTGGGCGACAGCACAAGATTCTGTTTCAAAAAAATAAACAAACAAAACAAACAAAAAAACACTTTCCTGTAGCAAACAGTGAGTAAATTTTTAGCCTGTGAGTATTCACTCTAATCATCTGATGACATTTTAGTTGAAACTCTATGGAGATTTTTACTTTTCATGGATGCCAGCTGGGAATAGTAAGTCCATTCCATTTGTAGAATCATTCCATTAAATTACGTTTTAGGCTAGGTGAAACAGGATGTGAGGAACTTTTAAAGATTATTCATATTGGTTTTGCAGAATAGCTCAGGGAGGGGTTTTCATGCTGGGATCTTGAATAGCATTATTTCTGTCTACTGGGGCTTCCTTATCCATTTATTTACCACCTTTTAAAACTGTATCTTAATTTAAAAGCTGTCATTACAAACTGGAAAACAAGATGAATAAATCAACCCATCAACACATATTGCCAGACACAGCAGAACATGTGAAGACCTCTGTAAAATAAATAGAAACAGAGAAGTCCACATGACACTAGAAAGAGTTCATTATTCTTTGGAGCTGTTGAAAAAAAATCAATATAAATCACTTGTTTTCATGGCAAGAACCACGTGTATTGTATTTAGTACTCACCAGAGTAATGCTCAACAGTCTTAACTGAATTGCTTTCACATTTGATTTTAGCACTAGCTTGCCAAAACACAAACCAAAAAAAGACACCCTTCCTCCCAAAATCAATCAATCAATCAATCTATCTATCTATCTAGCTATCTATCTAGCTATCTCTTCTGTCTTTTTATCTATATATTGGTAGCTTTTAGTTGCCTCTTAAGTGGTAGGTACCAAAATAATATAGATATGACTTATTGGTAAAAATAGAAAGTTGTCCCTTCAGATGTTATGACTTCTGGCTTCCAGACCTTTATGTTCACCTCAGTAGGCATAACCCTTCAATAAAATTCTCTGCCAAGGGAATCTCAATTCAAAACTGTCAAAGCTTTTAGATCATCTGCACACAAAGTCATAGTCTTTCACTGGTTTACATTAAATATTATCTGTGACTAAGTGAAGGAAATAATACATACAGTGCTCCGTTTCCAAGACAAAATGCCTTAAATTGGCTTAGGTCAGCAAACTAGTCAGAGAAAACAGGATATACTAGGCCCTGCTTGGATAGCCAATGCCTGCTTGTCAGCCTTAGTTGCCCTCACCTGAACCAAAGAAGTTTAGTCTAAAATGAAAGTTTATCAGCCTGCAAAATAGCTCCCTTTGTCTGTTCTTATCAGCTTGCCCAGCTACTTAGGTCATAAGTCAAATACTTGAAGAGCCCCTGAGCTAACTAGGATTGTAATGCATTGTGGGCTGCAACAAAATGCAGCAAGACATTCCCCCAGAAAACCATCTGAAGCCCCTACCCAACCAACAATAGGCATGTCCGGGAAAATTGTAACCCGATAGTAGTCAGCCTATAAGGAACTGGGGGAGGGACCTGAGCAGTAGGGGATAAATTGCTTGTTAAAACTGTGCTGCGTGTGCTACTAAACACCCAACCTTGCAAGACCATCATTAAAGTCTCACTTTCGCTGTTCTCTGGTCTGAGTCCATTTTTGAGTTTGGACGGGTGAGTTTGTTTTTCACAACCCGATGGCCCACACGGGGATCTCTGTGCCTGCGTGGAGTGAAGCTCCGACTGAGAGGGGAGATGCATCCCACTTGGTTTATGTGGCCTGCTCTCTCTGGAAGTCCCGGCTCCCCACAAAAGCCATAGAGAAACCCGAAACTGTTATTCAGGAGACAACGGAAGTGACACAGGGAGAAAAGCAGGCACTGCAGTAACCAGGCAACCTCATGCACTAGCCAAGGTAGGAAAATTGGACTGTATGTACTGCCTTGGTGGTTGGACATTTTTGGAGGACTCAGGATGTGCAAGAAACCGCCAGTCAGGGAGGTTGAATACAAAGAGGTGTGCAAGAAATCTCCAGTAAGGGAGTTAAGTACAGAGGGTAAAGCTCAGATACAGAGACTAACTGAAAATGGGAACCAGAAATTCTAGGTCTAGGGAACAAAAGAAAGAGGGAACTAAAAAGACCCCTTGTGACATTCTCCCAGATAGTCCACTGGGGAGAAATGTTGCAGGTTTGAAGGGATAATCCTCAAACCAGGGACAAGGAAAAGCAAAAGATATTAAAGTATTGCGTTTTATCTGGCCCAAAGAGCCCATTTGTCAGCCTTCAGTCTTTCAGCCTAAGTTTGGCTCAGATGAGGTATGCCAAGCTTTAATTCTCTATGTGAATAATAAAACCCCATTCTCATAAGAGGAGATGAGTTATGCTTTGTTGGATTGGTGGATTAACTCCCATGTTCCCCCTTAAAAAGGAAGAAAAGAGCATAGTAAAGCGCCTTCGCCCAGTGAAAAGCCCTGGAATCCCCTAACACGCTTGCCCCCATACATCTCAGAAAGTAGGGGACAGGAAGATCAAGGGGCAACAAGAAGGCCAAAGGAAGAGAAATACGGGGCTTGTGAAGGAGCTAAACCCAATGCTTCCCTAAATCCTTATCCAAAATTGAGGAAATAATTAGAGCAATGTAAGAAGAACATTAAGAATTTCCCTATTGCTTCTAAACAGCAGATATCTAACAGGTACCCTCTTAGAGAAGTCCCCATGAGGGGATGGATTTGTGAGTGCACCTCTAACAAGTACTGAGGTTAGGAATTTTAAAAAAGAAATGAGGCCACTCTTGAAATTCTCTCAGATTAGCAAAGCAGCTAGATCAATTTTTAGGACTCAGTTTTTATACTTCGGCTAAGATAATGTCAATCATGAATATTTTGTTTACTGGGGAAGAGAGGGGAATGATTAGAAGGGCAGCCATGACCAATTGGGAGAGATAGCATCCTCCCGGGCAAGGAATCTTGCCAGCTGAGCAGAAATTCCCAGTTTGCAATCCCTGAAGTAGAGAGAGATCTGCTGGGGAGAAGTCTGCCAAGATGCTTTGAGGTGGGATATATGGAAGCTCTGTATCCCAGAGCCGGGCTGGGCCGGGGTAGGATCCTTGCAGCTGAAGAGGAGGAAAAGCCACTTAGTCCCCTCCCAGAGCTGGACAAACCAGAGACCCTTTGCAGTTGCCAGGTCACCAGCAGGGGTGGCATGGAATAGAAACAGTGCAGCTCTTGGCCTTCCAGAGAGATGGATGGTGCCTTCGAAGCAAAGAAAGAGGAAGGGAGGGCGGAGCCAGGGATGCCTTTGCTGATAAGAGTGCCCATCAGGGAAGGTGCCACAGGCTGGCAGCTCTTCAAAACAGCAGTTCTTGGCCCAGAGTCAGACCCAGCAGAGCTGGGCTAAAGGCATCCTGGGAGTCCAGCTGGTCAGTCCCTTGCCTCCCCAAATTCCTCCTGGGGTCAGTGGGCCCTGGGAAGGTTCCTAACCTAAATCCAGCCAGTTTCTTATGGAAAGGAGAGAATAAAAAGGCACCAAACCATAACTTAAAATATCATAGAATATCAAACTAAAGTTAGATCAAACCTTAAAGAAACTCCACTACATAATGGAATCAGGCAGTTTGTGGATGGGTCATCCCAAGTGATAGATGGTAAAAAAAACACAATGATTATGCTGTTGTTAATAAAAACAAACAATCCTTATGTAAAAAAGATAAATTACCCAATAACTGGTCAGCCCAAACCTGTAAATTATATGCTCTTAACCAGGCCCTAAAGCTCCTAGAAGGCCAAGAAGTCACTACATATACTAATTCCAAATATGCCTATGGAATAATACACACCTTTGGAAAAATCTGGACAAAGCAGGGCCTAATAAATAGCAGGTGGAAAGAATTGGTACATGGGAAACTGGTCAAACAAGTTTTTAAAAAGCCTCTTGCTTCCAGCAGAGATAGCCATAGTTCCATGTAAATGGCCATCAAAAAGGAAACACTATAGAAGCTGTAGGAAACAGGCTTGTGGATAAAGCTGCTAAGCAAGCCTCCCTGGAGGAAAAAGTTAAATTGTTTAACCTAATCCCAAACATCCCTAAGGTGGTATTAAAACCCCAATTTTCTAAAGAGGAGGAGGAAAAGCTGGGCAAGGTAGGGGCCACTCAAACTAAGGACAGGAGATGGGTGCTCCCTAATGGAAGAAAAATAATAAGCAAACCCATAATAAGAGAACTAATGTCCATACTGCATAAGGGAAGTCATTGGGGTCCCCAAGCCATGTGTGATGCAATAGTCAAGAACTATGAGTGTATAGAGATTTATACCCTTGCTAAACAAGTGTGCGGGGATTGAGTAACCTGCCAGAGAATAAACAAAAAGGTAGTTAGAAAACAGACTACCGAAGGAAGACCTCCTGGGTTAAGGCCATTTCAAAGCATTCCCGTATTTAGGCAGGACTATTGACCTTCCTACTATGAAAACCAAAAAGCAATTTTGAAGAGATAATATACTGGCCATATCCTCCACCCTGTCATCCCTTAGGTTAAAAGAACTTCTAACTCAAACCCCGCCTCTTAAGTTCAAGTTTACCATTTCCAGCCTGGTGATAAGCTCCACCCAAGCTGGGAAGGTCCCCATCAAGTGCTCCTAATCACTGAAATGGCCGTACGAACAGCTGAACCGGGGGTGGACACATGACACTCGGGTCAAGAGACTGGTAAAAGAACCCCCAGAAGGAAGGGAGAAGGGTAAATGGAGAGTGTATATATCAGGTAAGGAACCCTTAATGCTAACTCTAAGGAAAACCTAAGAGGATGCTATGAGCAGGCTATGTCACTGGGGGTAAATATGCTTAGGATGAATCCTAACACAAGGTGTGAAAGGAGACCTAAGTACTGGATAGGGCCCAGTATTAGGGGTGAAAAGTAGGGAATATCGAATCAAACCAATAGTCAACACAGCTAAGACCTCCACCTGCTCCAAACTATAAAATTTAATGCCTGCCAAGTCTTACCTTGTGGAAATTTAGAGAACTAAAGGCAGTTGTCACAAGCAAACAAATATCTACATCCTAAAACAGACCGTTATTTGACCCTCTCAGAAAAGCCCTGTGCTAGCTGGAATCAGGTCTGGTGGACCACACAATATTGAGGCTGGGTGAGTCATTCTTCCAAAAACAAACCCTTAAAGAATCAAATATGAGGGCCCCATGGCACTTAACTATAGAAATTTAGAATGCAATCCTATATTAATTACTGTAAACAACCCAGCTACTCTAGACCAGGAACCTTGGAGGTATGTATTAGGAATAGATATCTCAGGAAGGAATTCCTCCAGTGGGACAGTTAGCTTTTAGACTGGTTACCAACTCCACCCTAAGCACACCAGGATTACTGTAACTCCCAGTCCCACTACTTCTTTAACCCACCATACAATGACCCTAAGAAAGTGAAAATAATTAAGGTAACTAACTTGAGGGAAACTTTAGAAATTAAGACTGGATATGGGGATATAAATGCCTGGGTTAAATGGGTCAAATTTTCTATACTAGCTCTTGATAAGAGTGACTGTTATGCATGCTCTGCTGGGCAGACTCAGACACAGGTAGTTCTATTTCCCCTAGAATGTGATACCCATCCCAAAGGAATATGTTGCATGTAGGCTCTATAACAGGACAGGGATGCATGGGGAAATAAAACCTGCAAAAGTCTATTATTGCTCTTTCCCACCTTGCGAAGGTCAGATCCTAAAGCAATCCCCTTGTTCTCCACAGAGAATATGAACCACTCCTCTTGCCTCTTTAGGCAGGGAGCAAAGTTCAATAGGCCCGTGGGAAAACTCTCAACTTGTATCCACATTTTAAACGTTGCTGGTGAGTCAAACAAAGGCAACTACTTGGTTCTTCATATACCCCGGGCTAATGTCTGGTGGTATTGTGGGAAGAGGAGCCTCTGTGACCTGTTACTGTCCAACTGGACAGGGACTTGTGCCTTAGTTCAATTGGCCATTCCATTCACCTTGGCATTCCATAAGATCCCCAAAAATCCACATGGCTACCAAAGCTGGAGAAATCTAACAAATTCTTTTAACCCCAACATTTATGTTAACATCAATAGATGTCCCTAAAGGAGTGCCTAATAAATGTAAGAACCAAAGGGCACAAAAATAAATGTGGAAATGGGACCAATAGGGGTCAAAAAAAAAAAGACGAGGGAATTGAAGGAAATAATATATACAATGGTCCATTTCCAAGACAAAGTGCCTTCAGTCAGCTTTGGTCAGCAAACTACCAGAAAAAACAGAATATACTAGGCTCCTGCTTGGATAGCCAAAGCCTGCTTGTCAGCCTTAGTTGCCCTCACCCAAACCAAAAAAGTTTAGTTTAAAATGAAAGTTTACTAGTTTGCAAAATAGCTTGCTTTGTCTGATCTTATCAGCCTGCCCAGCTACTTAGGTCATAAGTCAAATACTTGAAGAGCCCCCTAGTTAACTAGGATTGCAATGTATTGTGGGCTGCAGCAAAATACAGCAAAACAACCCTGAAAAAAACATCTAAAGACCCTACCCAACAATCAATAGGCGAAGTCCGGGAAAATTGTAACCTCATAGTACTCAGCCTATAAGGAACCTGGGGAGGGACCTGCACAGTAGGGGATAAATTGCTTGTTAAAACTGTGCTGTGTGTGCCTGCCTATCAAACATCCAATCGGCCTCAGCAGATTCTCCTGCCTCAGCCTCCCGAGTAGCTGGGATTGTGCCACCGTGATAAATTTTTGTATTTTTAGTAGAGACAGGGTTTCACCATGTTGGCCAGACTGGTCTCAAACGCCTGATCTCAGGTGATCTGCGTGCCTTGGCCTCTCAAATTGCTGGAATTACAGGCACGAGCCACTGTGCCTGGCGTTAATTCCCTTTTAAAAATAACAATAATTTATTTTATGACCTATGACCATTTCAAATGGTCTGAAAAAGTGAGACAGATTGGTGCCCATTGATAGTTTGGCCATAATTCACTCCCCCCCCCACCAACTTTTTTTTTCCCCAGGCCACAGATTGAACCTAAAACCCATTTCTTGTTGCTCTTCACTTTATTTAAATCAAAGACAGTTTCAGGAGCTCATGCCCCATTTAACTGTTACCCTTTACTTTTTAAGTAGCAGTCTAGACACTTTAAAAAAATGCTTATATTAGTTTTTTCCAAAATCATCTTTCTGCATTTCACAAAACAGACCAAGTTAAATGAAATCCTGTACCCCTAGTGATTCAGGTGTTAAAAAAGGAGGTAGCTAAAATTTTAATCCCTAGTTGCTAGTTTATAGATAAATAAACATGGATTTGCCCTACACAAAGGAAATGTGCTGGAGGATTATGATGGCAGACTTTCTTCCTTCCTTCCTTTCTCCCTCCCTCCCTCCCCCGCTCTCTCTTTCTTTCTTTCTGTTTTTTTTGATGGAGTCTTGCTTTGTCACCAGGCTGGAGTGCAGTGGCATGATCTTGGCTCACTGCAACCTCTACCTCCTGGGTTCGAGTGATTCTCCTGCCTCAGGCTTTCGAGTAGCTGGGATTACAGGCCCAACTAATTTTTATATTTTTAGTAGAGACGGGGTTTCACCATGTTGACCAGGATTGTCTTGATCTCTTGACCTTGTGATCTGCCCGCCTTGGCCTCCCAAAGTGGTGGGATTACAGGCGTGAGCCACCACGCCTCTCTTTTTCTTTTCCTTCTTTCTTTTTCTTTCTTTCTTTCTTTCTTTTCTTTCTTTCTTTTCTTTTCTCTTTCTTTCTTTCTTTCTTTCTTTCTTTCTTTCTTTTTCTTTCTTTCTTTCCTTCCTTCTTTCTTCTTTTTCTTTCCTTCCTTTCTCTTTCTTTCTTTTTCTTTCTTTCTCTTTCTTTCCTTCTTCCTTCCTTTCTTTCTTTTCCTTTCTTTCTCTTTCTCTCTCTCCCTCCCTCCTTCCCTTCCTCCCTTCCTTCCCTCCCCTCCCCTCCCCTCCCTTCCCTTCTCTCCCCTTCCCCTTCCCCTTCCAATTCCTTCCTTCCTTCCTGTTTCCTTTTTCCTCTTTCCTTCTTTCTTTCTCTTTCTTCCTCCGTCTCCTTCATCCATGTCTCCCTCTCTCAGTCTCTCTCATTTCTCTCTCTCTCTTCCTTCCTGTTAACTTCTTTGCTGAATTAACTTAATTTACAATGATAGGGATAGGAAGGAGTTACAGAGGAAGTAACTGTAGCTGGGCAGGTTAGAATACAGATATTTTCTATGAATATGCAAAACAGAAAAGGGGACCATAATTTCCCAACTGTTGTCAGGGCCAAGATGAGAGAAAGAATAGCCAGGCTGGCCATATGTGTAGCATGAGCTAGGACCCAGACATCAGGTTATTTGTGTCAGCAGCTGTGCTTATTCTCTGTCCACTTTTTATTTTTGAAATTCAGCTGCTCGTGTTGCTCTGGAGGTCAGAGGTATTTGATGCACCAGGTAGCCTGGACTGTGCCCTGTCTAGCACAGAAATAAAAGGGTTGTTCAATTTTTTTTTTTTTCTTTTTCTGAGACGGAGTTTTGCTCTTGTCGCCCAGGCTGGAGTGCAGTGGCGTGATCCCGGCTCACCACAACCTCCGCCTCCTGGGTTCAAGCAATTCTCCTGCCTCAGCCTCCTGAGTAGCTGGGATTATAGGCACGCGCCACCATGCCTGGCTAATTTTTGAATTTTTGGTAGAGACAGGGTTTCACCATGTTAGCCAGGTGGGTCTCAAACTCCTGACCTCAGGTGATCCACCTGCCTCGGCCTCCCAAAATGTAGGAATTACAGGCATAAGTCACTGCACCTGGTTGTTCTAGTTTTTTACATGCCCTCACCATGCCCAAGCCCACTGGCGACATTGGTTTTTTTGGTACCAACAACTGTTTATTGTTTAGCTCCTACATACTAGGTGGTCAATGTTAAATGGATGTTCCCTTAACTGCGTTTTTTTTTTGTTTTGTTTTGTTTTTGCCGTTTTATAACTTTAACAATCAACAGTTTTCATTCACACTGATTGCGTATGGATTTTTTTAAGTGGTGACAAGCACATAGGTAACCAATATTTACCTATGTTTAGTGAATCTTCATCTTCTTATGTTTTCTGGACAACTTCACATGGATATGGTATGTGACATCCCTTATTTCTTTGGCTCAGAAAACTTTGTTGAGACTGGTATCAATGCACACACCTGGAGTCCCCATCTCTTTCATGGCAAATTTCCAGATTTCTTTGAGTGCCTGAAAGACAAGCTTCTTAAAGCCCACTCTAGAGATGTGCTTGTGAATGTTGATGGTATATTCCCAGGTCACCATCTCACTGATAGCAAAACGACCCTTCTTTTCACCACCTTTCTTTGTGGGAGCCATTCTGCCAAGCCGAAGTGGGAAAGAAAGATTGTGAGGAATGGTGGGAGGAGGCTTCTTTAACTATTTTGTGACCATGGCTTCACCTATGCTTCTCACTGTTAGTGACAGAAGCTAGAAGGACTATTGATTATTCCTTTGACTTTATTCATCAAAGGACTTTGGCTTGAATTTTTCCCTAGGATGTGCTGGAGGGAAGGCTTAGTCAACTCAATGTCCTTGGAGTCTTGGGAAGGAAAGTGGATATAGCACTTAGAAGAAGAAATCATGCTAATCGTCAAGCTGTATTTCCATAGAAATATGCATTCACCTCCGTCACTGCCCTTCTGGTATAGGAGGACAAATGTGAGCCTGGAGCTGGACAGACTGGAGGATAAACCTAGGTGCTGCTACTTTCTAGCTGAGTGACCTTGGACAAGAGTCACATAAACTTTCTGAGCCTCAGTTTTCTTATCCCTGCATGAGGCTAGGACTATCTGTTTTGCAGGTGTTTGTGAGAATTAAATTTGATAATCTATGCTAGGTTCAATATCTGTTATGCTGTAAGAGCTAAAAAAATAATAGGAGCTATTATTTGTTTCATGCCAATATCCTTCTTAGACTTTGGTCCCTAAATGCAGGAATCACTTATGTGCCTTCTTTTTTTCCCTCCACCATGAGTCTAGCAAGTCAGGAGCAGAATAGGTACCTAATAAATATTCATTGAATGAATGGAGTTAATCATCCTGAAGAGTGGTAGTCAAACCAACCTTCACTTAAGGGCACATAAGATGCCACACTTTTGAGGCTTATTCTATGGTAGCTTTTTGTTTTGCTTGTTTGTTTGGGATTTTTTTTTTTTTTTTTTTTTTTTTTGCAGAATGAGCAACTGATGCTTATAACATGTTTTTTTGAACTGTTTTTGCTCTCTTTTGGGTCACCGAAAAAGGCATATAAACTAGTTTTCACAGGTACTATAGATCTTAAAATGATGATACATTTTATGTCACAGAATGGGGCTTTAAGGTTAGTCTTGTTTGGTTTCAAAATATAAATACTTATTTTAAAAAATGGGCTGCTGGAGACTTCATCTTCTAGGTTTTGGAAGTAGACATAATGGGAGGTAATTCCAGCTTTTTGTATAATCTGGCAATCTCAGATGGGTGAGACTGGGCGGGGGGATGCAGGAGTCTGCTCTAGTATCTCACTGGACACTGAAGCTGGATATATGTGGTTATATAGGAAAAGTGATACACATGTGCCATCTGTGTACACTCGCAACATCAGTTCTTTCTCACTTTCTTGATTAAGGAATCTATTACCTTACAGTGGACAAATGGCCTCAGGAGTAGTCAACATATTATTATTGTATCCAAAGTAAAGTCAAGCATAATTAGTTTTATTTTGTGGAATGGGAGCATTGGGTGTGTGAAAGCAAGAAAAGAAGAGTCATGAACTTTTATAATCAGGTCCTTAGTAACTGCTTAAGTCTGGGAAGCTAGTCAACAAGACAATGGTGAATTTAGGAATCACAGCCGGCATCTTTCTCCTGGGAAGGTAAAGTCACTGAACATGGGATTTTTTTCTGGAGTTCAGCTTTCATATGTCATGTGGCCAATTGGCATATTCCTATTTCATGGATGGATGGGTAAAACCAAGCCACACTTTGCTAGTGTAGATGCCTCTCTTGATGGAAGTAGGGCAGCATGCAGTGCTGGACTCCAACTGTAACTACAGAGCCCTGGGGAGACGTGCTTGTAGTGCTTGACTATAAGACTCAGCTCTGGGAAAGCCCCAGGCCTTGGCCGCGGCCAGAGTGTGAACTCAGCCAAAAACTTGACTATGCAGCTCCACTTCCTGGTGAAAAACCAGTAGAAGACTGCAATGCCATTGTACAGGCATTGCTGAGAACTCAGAAGCTGTATGGAGGATGGGCTGAGCAACCCTGGCTTGGGGCCTCTAGTAAATGGGGTTTGGAGGGATAACAGCGTAATCAGACAAACATGGAAGCTGCTTCCTTCATCAGCAGCAGCAGCACAGAACTCAACATATTTTCCTAAGTGGGCACTTAGTTATACTCAGGGAGGAAGCTCTGGTTTGAAGACAATGAAAGACACAAAGGTTTTTCATGGCTTTTAAGTGCCATGAAAAGCACTTAAGGTATACATGTACCTAGTACAGTGCCTGGCTAGGTATTTGTATACCTTAAAGCAGAAGGATCTTAATGGGCAAGGTTGGGAGGGAAAGCATACCCATCTCCATGGTTTCAGTTGCCTCCACAGATGCAGCTATGCACAATTTTCATATAAAGCATGAAATATTAGCTTGACGTGAGCAATGTTGTGATCTACACAGATTTATATTGTAAAATGCACCCATGTGTTGATTGTGAAAGATGATCTGCAGCTTAGATTTCACCATCAATTTTGGTTGAGGGATTTGCCTCTTGCTTAAGATTATTTAAATGTAGATTATCAGTGGCCCTCATAGAAAGTAAAGTGACTTGGAGTACTAGTAATTCAACAGAAATTTATAGATTGAGTTCTAACTGTGCTCTGTAATGTGCCTTCTGCTTTTGTCTGCAGCTCTGATGAAGCAGGTATATACAAATTCTGTGAGAGAGGCAGAGTCTGTAGGGTTTAAGAGGGCTCCATGGGTCAATTTTGTCATTTGTAAAATGAGAACATTGAAAATCTCGACCTCATAGTGTGATTAGTATCATTGAGGTAGTACGTGCAAGTGTTTAGCACAATGCTTGGGACATCTTAAGTGTTCAATAAATAGTAACCACTTAAAATTTTTAAAGGCAGAAATAAGTTTTGGAGACACCAAAACCTTGCCTCCAATCCTTGTTTTGCTGTTCACTGTGTGTAAGTTACTTCTGTAAGCATTGGTTTTTAAATTTATAACATGGGAATAATGTGAGTACATATCTCATAGAGGTATGACAAGGATTAAATAGAGATAAAAATCATCAATAAATGGAAATAACACTAACACATATTGTTTAATGGGACTGTAAGGATTAAATAGGTATATAATGTGAGAGGGGCTGGCGTCTAGTACTCAATTAAGGGTAACGAGTATTAACTATCATTGAACATTAGCTCCAGGAGCCACCTGCTTAACCCATGAGCTTTTTATAGCGATTTACATTCATCCATATGAACAGAAGTAACAGAGACTAGGTAGTTTGAAACGCTTCACTGATAGTTTGATCACAGCGATACACCTTCTGTGTGACCATAAGGGCATTGGTTGACCTCCCTGTGCCTTAAGGCATGTAGGCATATGCCTTCTGCCTAGGTTTAAAAGCTCATCGCTTACATGGTCCTTTTGAAGTTGGGCGTATGTTCCACAGAGTGCATAGTGTGGCCAGAGGCAAATGTGGCTCTTTGTTTAAAAAGAGAAAAAAGGCCAAGCTAAGCATATTGGCTGCTGATCACATGAACTCAACAAAGCACTCATATGAGTCTGTGTTTATTAGTAAATAATGTGTGTATGCAGGTGTATACATGTGCATATAAATTATATACATATGTATATATAGCTGTACATATACATATGAACACATGTATAAATATATGCACACAAGCATATGTCCATGGCAAACATACATTAGATGCAATTAACAAAGACTTTCTGACTCTTCAGTTGTCAAGAATAATATGTATAGCATTTAAAAATGCAAAATATGATAAAATAAAAAGTAAAATAATTTCCAGTAATATTTCTTTAAATAAAGTTGTATATATGAAAAAAAGATTATTGAAAAATATTTTAAGTCTTTGGAGCCAATACCTCATGACCTTGTATAGCACTAAGGCTTTATTTTATGCACATCTATGCAAGTAAAATGCAGAACTGAGTTATTATCTATATTACAGGGACCCAAACCCATTTCCAGCTACCTGCCCTCACACAATGTAAAGTATTATTGCAAAAGTGAAATTTATGGCAATGTGTCCTAGATTATTATACTTTCTTTAGTTACAGTTACATAGTAAAATACACAATTGAAAAGAGAAAATGACACTTGTATATTTTGCTTTATGAATGTCAAATATTAGTATCATTTTGCAGATCAAATAAAGATTATCTAGTTGGATGCATGTTTTTTCCCATTTGGATATTTGGTGATTAACAGTTGTCCACATGTATAGAGATACATAGCCTAGGGAGTGTGACAAGAAATAGATTTATTTTCTTTATTTTTTTCCAAGCGATGACCATTTTGTACTATTAGAAAATGTTCTGAAATTTTCCTTTGTCTTCATACCTTTTAAAATAGATACAAGAAAGAATGAGAAAAAAAGTTCTTTGTTCATGCAGAAACATACTAAGATTCTTTTTTTCCAGAACAGCACAGAGAAGCTTTCTTTGTCATTCTAGTTTCAGCTTGATTTCCCCCTTAAATTTAGAAAATATGTACACACTGCAAGCAGCTAGGTACACTCACATGGAAGATAATCTATGGCTAAAATACACCTTTTGGACCTACATTTTCCAGTTATTCATGTACAAGCCACTTTGAGTAACCATTTTAATTTCCAGTTTTGATGATTGAAAGCAAAACAGTGACTTCAGCCTGTGCATGATATTTATCTAATCCCTTACAGGAGAACCCACTGGCCAGGAGCACTGCTTGCAGAGCTTGCTACCCAAAGGGTTTAGCAGAGGAACGTTCCCTCGTAATGGGGTTATGAAAGACACACCGCCTCTGTAATTTACTGAAGTTCAGCTTTAGAACAAGTTGTTTCTTTTATGTACAAAGCTCGCAATTCACAAGTCCCAGCTGAAATGTATTTTTTTTTGTTGTTGTTGGAAGGTTTCAAAGATATGGCTTTTGGAAATTCCTTAATTAGATTTAAGATTTTAGTTTTACAGTGGGTTCTCTTTGTAACCAGAATGCATTTATTTGGCAGTTGCTTTATTTAGTGATGCTCATTTCACACTGTGAATAACCAACAAAAACTGTAATATGCTAGCACTCCAATAGCTTTTTTTTTCCTTTTGAAAACAGAAAGCAAAGAAACCAGAGGAGATTTATGGAGAATGGCCCAAATTGAAACCTATTTGGAAGCACCTTTCCTGTTTGCACAGCTAAACATCTTTGTGTTTTATTTTAAATGAAGGAGTACATAGACAGATAGCTCCAAGTTTGAAACACACATTAGGATATGTTTCTATAAAAACACATTACACTATCAGCATTCAAAGAGGGCTGCCAGCTCTGGAAGACTTGCATGCCCATGGGTCATCCCTGGGGGACAGGCTGTATATAAATACCAACTGCCAGTTCACAGTTTGTGCAGATATAAAGTCTGTTAGGCCAAGATAACATGTATATAGTGTGACATGGCTGTACCTAGCTATGTACCTGTGAACCGCAGCATATTTAGTCCTTGGAATTATTTCACCTCTCAGTAAAACAACATGCTATTTTCAGACAGATTGGTAAAAGGAAAGTAACTGTAAGATACATGGATTAAAAAGATTTGAAGAGCAACAGTAACGAATCTCCAAAAGGCTATGCAGGGAAAAATGTACTGTATGAAATCTGTATTGGACATCCTTTTCTTTCCTGAAGCATTAATGAGAGAAAGAAGAGAGCTTAGGCCCCAGCATCTAGCAGTATTTGATTCATATTAGGTGCTAAATTAATATTTATTGAAAAAGTGACAAGTTCTATTGCTTCTGATTCCTCTGACTCAAATCTGTCCCCCTCCATTCCTTCATGGCCACTGCCAATAACCAACTCATACATCACCTCTTTTGTGGGTGATTAAAATAGCCTTCAGGTTGGTTTTCTTTAGCTAGTCTCTTTACTCAAATTCTACCCTCTATTATCTGTTCCCAAATTATCTTTCCAATTGGCTGCCTTCCTCTTCCACACTCCATAGGTTTGAGTGGACTTATTCCCTAAGCATTTTCCATTCTGTCCCACCTCCCACAGCTGTCCTCAGCCTTAGCCTTTCTGTCCCTGGAAGATTAGCCTCACCACACTTCCAACTCGTGGTCACCCTTGGAGGCACAGTGTAAAGACCAAAGCTTTTTATTTAGACATCTTTCTTCTCCATTCCAGATACTTAAAAAGCACTTTATGTGTATTTTTCTTAGAGGGACTTTTAGCATTTCATTTTCTGATATAATTGTTTGCATGAGGGTCTTACACTTTCCCCTTATCAGCTGTTTCTGTAAGGGAAAGTGTTCGTAACGTAATTATTTTTTGGCTCTTATAAAACGCTTTCATAAGCCTCCTTTGTCCCTGAAGACCAGCTGTTCCTCTATACTTTCATCTCACCCTGTAATTCTGATTTGTTCCTTTTATTACAATTAAAATTATATAAATGATTGAGTAATTTGTTTTTATGCTGTCTCCCCTGCAAGAACGTAAGTTCCACAAAGGCTTGTTAGCCAGATACCAACTCACCAGTAGAGCATCGTTCCCTTACCAGGCATTCAATATGTAAGTGTAGAGATGGATTTGTTGAATGATTAATTGATCAATCGACTGATAGGTGTATCAGGGACACAAACACTCATTTATGTCCTCATCTGGTCACACTTCTCTGGTCTCCAAAAGACCATGACCCAGAAAACAAGGATGAATAATTGCTATATCATAAACTTAGGTAATTTTCATATCCAGTCCCTGTGAAATGGACACCTTTGTAATAGTGCCTTATTTTCATATGGTACAAACTGTCCCCTGACTATGCTATCTATTCCATCTGCACAGTTATGATTTCTGAATCTTTATCTCCAATCAGGACTTCTCTCGAATTCCAGAGGTTCACTTGCTTTCTGGATATCATCCCTTAAATGTCCTATGTCAGAAACTGAATTTTTTTTTACCAAATTATTATTTTTTTCTTCTTTTTCCTGGTTGTGTCTCCAGACCACATTTCTCAGCCTTCCTTGCAATTAGGTGTAGCCAGGTGGTGGTTTGGGTAACAAAGTGTTGATAAAAGTTATGTACATCATTTCTATGCCTGGCCCACAAAACTTACATTTACCTTCCATTCTCTACTTCCATATTGTCTGCTGGATGTTAAGAATCCAACAGAAGTGTGTGGCTCTAAGATATGGCTGGACTGTAGGTGGAAGATGCCTGGATCTCTCAATCACTGTGGGGAGCCGAAACATTCCATCCTTACTAATTGGGCTTAAACAAGTAAGACATTATCCTACTTTGTTAAGCCATTGAACTTTTCACATTGTGTGTTACAGCAGTTGGCCACACCTGTCTAATAACATATTTTCTCTTAAATCATATTTTCTTCTAGCATCTCTGATCTATGTTAGCACCATTTCACTATTGCTCAGTTAGAATGCTGTGAGTTCCCCTGAAGTATTTTCCCTTGTCTCTTACTCCTCACTAGTCAACATCCCTTGCTCTTTGTTACTACTCTTACTGATTTAGTTTAGGTTATGATCCTTTCCTGATTGATCTACTAAAACCACACCCAGAATGGTCTTTCTGCTTTCTATCTTGCCTACCTCCAACCTATCCTCTATACTGCCCACCATGTTTCTTTTGAAAACACAGATCTGATCTAATAACTCTTTCATTTTAAAAACTTATGTTTTTTCCTTCACTTCAAGATGAACTAAAATTTCTAGAATTACACCAAGATCCCACTCTTGATATATATTTGAAAGAATAGAAAACAGGATTTTAAACAGATGTCTGCAACCCCTTATTCACTGAAGTGTTACTCATAATAGCCAAGATAGGAAAACAACCTAAAGTCCATTGATAGATGAATGGATAAAGAAAATATAGCATGTGTGTGTGTGTGTATATATATATGTATAATGTACATATATAATATAGACATATACATATATATATACACTCATATTCACACACACAATGGAATATTATTTAGCCTTAAAAGAAGGAAATCCTGCCATATGTGACAACATGAATAAACCTGGAGGACATTACACTAAGTGAAATTAGCCAGTCACAGAAGGACGAATAAGTACTGCATGGTTCCACCTATATGAGGTAGCTAAAATAGTCAAACTCATAGAAATAGTGAATAGAATGGTGGTATCAGAGGCCGGGGAAAGTTGAAAATTTGGATTTGCCAATCAATGGGTATAAATTTTTGGTTATATAGGATGAATAAGTTCTAGATATCTGCTGGAAAACATTGTGCCTGTAGTTAACAATAGCACATTGTACACATAAAAATGTGTTAAGAAAGTATATCTCATGTTAAGTGTTCTTACCACAATTTCAAAAACACCAATTTTTTAAACGTACCATTCATTTGAACTGCCTCATAATCCATGCATTCCCTAACATCTGTCACGTGTATTTTCAATGATATAACTCAGGCTCTCAAAACCAAAATGACAAAAACAAAAATCAGAGGTATACTTGTCCCCTAATAGAACACATTTTTTACACTTTAACTTCTCTGCATATGATATTTACCCAGCCTAAAATGCCCTTTCTTTTCTGACACAACTTTTACCAATTCTTACATAATATTTACCCAGCCTGAAAATGCCTCTCCATTTTGTGACACAATTTCATTCTTGTAATAAGGCTCAATTAAATAATCACATTTTCTCTTTCTTCAAACCTCCCAAACCGATTTAATTGCTCTCTCCTCTGCATTCTCCTACAATGTTTATTCTTTTGAATTTCAATTATATCTCTGTATGTGTCTCCCAATTGACTGGGAGATTCTGGAGGGCAAGAAACAGGTCTTATTTATCCTTGGATACTCTGTGCCTACTTTGGCAACAAAGAAGGCACTCAAAGAAGGTTTGTTGGATAAATTTTTAACTATCATGTAATTCACTATCAAAGCAAAATGTGGCCTTATTTTCCATTATGGGACTATCTTAGCAGGAATGTGTAAATCCCACCTTGCAATAGCTATGATAATAAAGACTAACCTATTTTGATAATAATAATGATTACTAACATTTAATGAATGTTATGTGCTTGACACTCTGCTAAACTCTTTACATGCTTCATTTTGTTTGATCCGTTGAATGACTCTATGAAGTCAATTCCATTATTATTAAATATTTCCATTTTAAATTAATGTATTAAGTTTGTATGCAGTTATAAACAAATAATAGCTAAGTGAAAGGTATCCTCTCCTACAGGAGCTACTGAGTAAGGTACAATTGATTTTGCCCCCAGTGGTTGACAAACCATTTGAAAATATTCTAAGGTCTTTCTTGACTACTAAAGCTTTTTAAATTTTATTTCATTTTAAGTTCTGGGATACATGTGCAGGACATGCAGGTATGTGACAGAGGTAAATGTGTGCCATGGTGGATTGCTGCACCTATCAACTCATCATCTAGATATTAAGCCCCACAGACTACTAAAACTTTACTTCTTATAAATATACATAGCATAATAGGGAACTTGGAAATTTCTATTCAAAATTATTTTGAGAAAACTTTTCTTTCCCTAGGCATTTCTGAAGTTCTTCTGACATCTTTGGAAACAGGTAGGGAGTAAATCTTTGAGCAAATCATTATGCATTTTAAGAGTATTCAGAAAAGTAAAGTGTATTGCTGTGGCATGTTAGAGAAACCAACCATGTGATCAGAGGGTTGAAACTTTCAGTCTCACCCTTCAACCTCCAGGGAGGCCAGAGTGGCTGAAGGTTGAGCTGATCACCAATGGCCAATGATATAATCAATCATGCCCATCTAATGAAGCCTCCATAAAACCCAAAAGGGTGAGGTTTAGAGAGCTTCCAGATAGCTGAACTCATGAAGGTCCCTAGAGGGTGGCAACACCCAAGAGGGTATGGACATTCTACAACCCTTCCCCCTACCTCATACTATAGACCTCTTCCATCTGGCTGTTCATCTGTATCTTTTGTAATATGCTTTACAATAAATTGTTGAACTTAAATGTTACCCTGAGTTCTGTGAACTGCTCTAGCAAACTAATTGAACACAACAAGGAGGTCATGGGAGCCCTGATTTATGTATCAAGTCAAAAGCTCAGGTCACTCACTACCTGTGCTTGCCACTGGCATCTGATGTGGGGGGATAGTCTTCTGGGACTGGATCTTCAACCTGTGGGCTCAACTATCTAGCCAGGTAGATAGTGTCAGAATTGAATTGATTAGAGTATCCCCAGCTGGTTCACCAGAGACTGTGCTGCTGGAGAATTGCTTGGTATTGGGGGCACAACCTCCACACATCTGGTGTCAGAAGTGTGGTGAGTATAACCATATAAGAGAGAGGGAAAACACTATTTACCTACATGTATATACCACCCAAATTCCATCACATCCTGGAAAATCTCCCCTCATCATATCTGTTTAAAATCCTCTCTCCTTCTTAGCCCTGTAGAACCTATTGCATGCTTAGTTGACACTTTTCACTATTGCCTCATGCATTTTTCATCTTTTTAAATTTTATTTTTCTATTGATACACAATAGATGTACATATTTTGGGATACACATGATAATTCAATACACCACATGTATTTTTCATACGGTCATATGTATTTTTCATCTCTAGAGGCATTGTCTCATCTTTCTAATTAGATTGTAAGTTTGTGGACTTTAGGGCCGTCATCTGTGATATCCCCTAATCTCCCATAGTAAAGGGAAAAGGAAACTAATATTTACTGAATTCCGGCTCTGTGCCAGGCACTATGCCATATTCTTTATTTTTTTTTCTTTCTTTCTTTCTTTTTTTTTTTTTTGAGACAGAGTCTCACTGCCGCCTAGGCTGGAGTGCAGTGGCGCGATCTCGGCTCACTGCAAGCTCCACCTCCTGGTTCTCACCATTCTCCTGCCTCAGCCTCCCAAGTAGCTGGGACTACAGGCATCCGCCACCACACCTGGCTAATTTTTTGTATTTTTAGTAGAGACAGGGTTTCACCGTGTTAGCCAGGATGGTGTCGATCTCCTGACCTCGTGGTCCACCTGCCTCGGCCTCCCAAAGTGCTGGGATTACAGGCGTGAGCCACCGCACCTGGCCCTAAGCACAATTTTTATAGTATTTCACATTGGTATTGTTTCTTAACTGTTTAAAGTGCATGCTATTATTTATTCAAGTAGGCTGCCACCTTTGTGGGCAGTACAATGTCCCATGCTTTGTGTCTTCATGTGTATGCATTTCTCTGCAAGTAGAGAGCCTTTGCTATATATTTGCAGGATGCTTGACCAATGAAAGTCTTTTTAAAAACATCAATTATAAGTAAAAAAATCAATTAAAACAAATTTTAAAATATTTACACATGAGTAAAAGAATAAAACTGAATTTAACAAAGATTCTCTTTGGCCATCAAAACTCCTGATAGCCTCAATTATGTTCACCCAGGTGACTTAAATTTCACTATTCTCTATTTTTTAAAAAATCTCTAGAAAGTCATGTTACCTGACAATTGAAATAGCTCTAAATCTTCTGGCAAACTGAGATTCCAAGAAAATCTATCCCTTATGAAATAAAACTATAGTGAAGGGGAAAATGTATTAAATTATTATTGTGTAGTCTTTTTAAAGTATTTTATGATGCTTATATATTGGTCAATGATAGCCTTCTGGCATTCATGTTAATGTATTCCAAATGTATTCATGAAATCAGCTCAAATTTTATTGTCTTTCCTCTCCTTTAGCCCTGTATGCAAATTTATGTACCACCTCAATTCCACTTGTTATTTTTGGCTCTGCTGGATTGATGTTGGGTATGGATGTTCTGAGACTAACAGTATTGAGGGCTGACTTTTGGGGTTTCTGAGCAGCTGAGGTGCCTGAGAGTGGTGGGTGTGGCAAAGTGGAAAGCAGCAGTGAGGGAGCTCACTGTATCAGGTCAGCAGCTTTTCTATATTAGTTACAGTAATGTTTTCCCACCACTGGAGTAGATAAGGGAGACTTGGTTGGAGCTGCTGCTATGCTCGTGGCCAGAAGTTCAGGATTTGCAATTCTACAGTAATTGCAGTTTTTTCTAGGACCTCAAAGGCTGCACACATGCAGAGGAATTTATTGTTTTTTATCATCTGAATCTTAAGAACATCAATAAATTTTTAAGAACTTGCCTACTTCCAAGGCATGTAGAAAGAATGGTTCTATATTTATCTCAATATATAATTAACAATAATTTATAAGTAATGAGTTTCATGTTCTGTAGACAAATGACTGGACTTTCTTTCTTCTTCTTTTTTCTATAAATACTGGCTGGGAGTTGGGGTTCTGCACAGTGATTTTCGTGACACCCAATTTGGCATCTTAGACTGTCACAATGAGCTCATGATTTCAGGTGAGGAATAAGCAGGAGCACATGAACCCTCAAGCAAAAGAGATGAAATTTTCATCCAAATGTCCTAAAGAATAAAAATGATGGAGATAAAAACAGAAAATATATGACATGGACAAAGTTGTTTCTAACTAGAACATTTTTCAAAGTTTTCTAGGGGCATCAATTGCTCTCTGAGCAAATCGTTTAGTACAGAGCTCTAGTGAGAGCATTAGCAAATGATCCTCCTCTGCCTGCAATTAGATTAGTCATGCACTTGTAGGCCAGGATTTATGGTAATTTGTATTCTAGAAGAATCCTTGTGCTTTGCACTTCAGGAAAAAAATTAAGAAAACGACTAAAGCATGCACCAAAGATTGCAGATTTCTGTTTCTTAATTGCTCTCATTTCTCCTTCAGTTTAAAGAGGCTTATTTTGTAAAAACAAAGTAAGATATAATCACTGTATATAAATACTGTCAACCCCTGAACTGATTGTTTATTATTGTCATCATAAATGCCATAATCATTCATCCCTCCCATCTATGTATATCTATGTATTAACTTTCTTGGTCATCTATTTTATAACATCTAGAGGGGAAAACATACATTTTATACCTTTCTATCTTTCAGGTACAGAGCATGTCATTATTTATATTATCATCAGCATCAACATCATCATCATTTTTCTCATTTAGTAAGTTTTCTCTAAGTAATGGTCAGAATTAAAAAATAATAATTTAGGAACTTCAGCAGGAAATGTGCTGTGTGTGTTTGGAAAATGAAACTTGAGAAGGGTAACTAGTTGTTCTAGTGAATTGTGTGTGATCTTGGCTTGTGTCTGCACAGGAAAGATCAGGATGGCTCTGAGATCTTTTTCAGTTGTCACATTGGACTAAACTGAGAAGCAAAGTCTGTGTGCAGACACTGTGATGGCCATGCTGTTATTTCTGGATTGTGCTGGATGGTGCTGCTACATATATACAATCATCACGCTGACTGATCTGCCTAAACACTATTGTATCCAGGATTCCTGAAGTTATTCGGCTTCACAATCCATGGACATAGAATTTTATCTTTTACACATCTTACATTTTCTAGATTGCATCCTTTTTTAAAAACATAAATCTAAGTGAGTGCCTTAGTGCTTTTAAACAAGTGATTAAACTCAGCTTGAGGTATGCAAATAAGGCCAGTCAAATTGTTCAGGTCTATGTGGGATGCCACCTAGCTACGGAAGTAAAAATCTCTTAGCAGTTAGGTGGCTTTTTCTATGTGCCAGCTACCTAAGGTGCTGAGAGTATAGTGGGAAAGTATATCAATGTAATATCATATAACAACTGCAACAATGGGCATGTGTACCAAGTTCAGAAATAGCACAGAGAAAAGACAGTCTTAATGTTTGAAGTACATTTAAGTGTTGCATGATAATTGTTATAATAAGAAATGTTACATGAGACACTTTTGTTCTTAAATTGTTTAAAAACTTTGATGATGAACCAGAGCTTCAAATGAGTATTATGGCTATTAAAGAGCCAACCATTTGTTTAAATACAGATAATGTTAATTGCTTTATGAAAAATAGCTACACCCTACATTAAAGACTGGCTTTCCTTTATCTTTGTCAGTTATTAAGAATTATGATTTGTTTATATTTAGGAAATATATTCAGGCACAATAAATCTGTAGGAATTCGAGGCAAAATCTGGTAAACAGTTCCTACACTTTTACATTTTTGGATTTTGCCTTATATCATTCAAAGATTTGGAAATAATTGTACAAATAGGAACATATATTGAGCATGTTTTAGGTACCATACAAAGAATTGTTCGCATTCAGTGAGTTTTCTCTAAGTAACTATCAGAATAAAAAAATAATTTAGGACCTTCAGCAGGAAAGGTGCTGTGTATGTTTGGAAAGTGAAACTTGAGAATTACTTCTTAAATGTGATCCACAGATCAACTACATCATCATCACCTGGAAGCGTGTTAGAGCGGTAGGATCTCTGTCCCCATCCCAGACCTTGCAGCATCAGAATCTGCATTGTGACAAGCTCTCTATGTTGTCTTGCACATTACAGATCTGCATTGCATATTACAGATCTGCTTTCACACTTTCTTTCTAATTCCACACCACAGCCCTACAAGTTCAGAGAGGTTCAGTCGCTGCACAGGGTAACAAAGCCATTAAGGGATGGAGCAGTTCTCTGTTTTCAGATGATAGTCATGTTTCTACTATATAATTATATCCTTTCGCTTGTTGAAACTTTACCCTTTCTTAATTGTCCAGCTCAAATTCCACTACCTCAAGGAAGTCTCCATGCCTCCTGTTCAAGTAATCTTTTTTCCTATTTAAATATATGACAGTATTTTGATTCTTTCTGGCTTTGCCATAAAACACTGTTTTGTCTTAGATTATTATTGTTAGTGTCCGTGAGAATAGAAACCATCTTTTTTGGCTTGCAGAATCTATTGTACCCTAGCATAGTAACCACCATATA